>NC_000002.12:30117625-30270375 GCF_000001405.40 Homo sapiens
GTGACATCCTGTCGCCCTTCACCCAAAAAAACCCACCTGCGAACAGGACAAATGCAGCCACTGTCCTCCGGGTCTTATAGCCAACAGGGAAGCCAGCCATTAAAGGCAAATTATGACAAGATGCCAAAGATGGGGCTTGGGGGGCTGAAGGAACGGGGAACAGAAAACTTCTCTCCCAGGGGGTCCAAAAGGCAGCCATATTTAAATGAGACATGAGGGATGAAAGTGGGAATGAGCTCACCTGCCAAGGAGTGAGGCAAGGGGAAAGGCACAGAGAATTCTCAACCATAGGGAAGAAGCAAGAATGGCCAATGCCAGGGACTAAGAAAGGCCAGAAGACAGAGCCAGAGAAACAGAACATGGAGCGGGGGCACCCCAAGGAAGGCAGGCGGGGGCTAGAATTTGCAGGACTTGAAAGTGTAAGGACAGGGGACTTCTTTTTTTTTTGAGACGGAGTCTCTGTCGCCAGGCTGGAGTGCGGTGGCACGATCCCGGCTCACCGCAACCTCTGACTCCCCAGTTCAAGTGATTCTCCTGCCTCAGCCTCCCGAGTAGCTAGGATTACAGGCACCTACCACCACATCCAGCTAATTTTTGTATTTTTAGTAGAGCTGGGGTTTCACCATGTTGGCCAGGATGGTCTCGATTTCCTGACCTCGTGATCCACCTGCCTCGGCCTCCCAAAGTGCTGGGATTACAGGCGTGAGCAAAAGCGCCTGGCCAGGGCAGGGGACTTCTTTCTGAGGGTGATGGGGAGCCCAGCCCAGCATGAAGTGGGGGAGTACAGATCAGACTGGAATTTTGGAAAGCTTGCTCTTTTATCCCTGGGCATGAAGCTAAGCAAACATCACCTACCCCTCCCGCAAGACTCCTTCCTTTCACTAATTCTTCAGAGGAGATGTAGTTAGTGGGGAGCCACAGGTGTGAAATATGGGCTGTTTGGATGGGTAAATCCCAGGCAAGACAGCATCATCCTCCCTGCAAGTCATCCCTGGGGGCAGGAAAGGACTGGAGAGTGGGCTCTGTCCCCAGACCCGGATGGTGGGGGTGGCTGGGAGCTAGCAGCTGGCTACAGTGCCTACGCAGGCCTCTATTTTTCTTTCTATAGCTAATAAATATTAGTATCAGTTTTTACAATTGGCCAATAAATCCAGCTTATTCCAACCCCTGTGTATTTCTTAAATCCCTAGCTTGTATATCAGTTGATCTGCCATGATAGAACAAAAATGGCCTGGATGCTTCTGGGTGTAGGTGTATGGATGGGTTGGGAGTGTGGAGAAGTTAGAAAGGAGTGACCTCATTACAGTCTTCACAGAGGTTGTCGTCTTGTGAGGAAGGGAAAAAATGAATTCAGTAGGAAGAGGACAGTGACAACCCTCTTCCTAGGGAAATTGAGGCTGGGAATGCAGGGACGTGTTTTCCTAAGATTGGGATGGAGTGAGTGCTAGGGCTAGTGCTGGAACCCACCAGACCACACTAGCCATGGCTCACACAAAGGTCCCTGGAGAAGAGGACTTCTTACTTACTGTGAGAAGTAAGTCACAGGCCACATTCCTAGCCAGGATCCACTACTCTCTGAGGGCCCCCACTCTAGTCATGCAAACCTTCCTTTGCTTCCTCAAATAAGCCAAGTCCATTCCCACAGCCTCAGTATGTCTTCTGTTATGGTTCCCTCTTACCCAAAGGCTCTAACCCCTCAATGGTTACTGGCTTCCTCCTTCAGGTACTGCGTCAATGCCAGCTCTTCAGAAAGGCCCCCTGAAGACTCTTCCTGAAGTGGCCCCACACCCACACACCAACAAGTCTCTGTCTCCCCCAGCATTATGCTTTTCATCTTCATCATTCTCAACCCCCAGAGGAAATGACCCTGCTCCTCTAGTTTCCTCTCCTACCCCCCAACTCCTGGCCCACAGACTAAAACTCAAGAGAGGAGGATCATGTCCACTTTGTTCACTGCTGCATCCCCAGGCAAGGGAGAAAGCCTGGCTTACCCTAGCACTCAGCAGCTGCAGAATGAATTAATGAAAGCAATGCTCTATAAACAAATCCACTTCAAGTAGACATGGAAATTATTATTTGTGAGATAACTCAATTCAAAGGTGTTATGGTAGAGAGACCAGGTTGAGCAATCGTAAGACTTACATTTCAGTCCTACATGGACTTTTTCTTCTTGCTGTGGTGGTCAATACACAGAATATTCTGGAATCTCAGGCTGAATTTATACCTGTAGAAAGAAGAAAGCAACGCCTTACACATTACTGTTGGGAGGATCAAACTAGAGAGTATACGTTCAGTGCTTTGTAAACTGTAAGGTACAAATAGATGTATGATTATAACTTTATGAGGAAATTACTACAATATTTATATAAGCACTTTCCCTAGTCTTTCCAAAATAGACTCTGACTTAGAAAAAATAGATTTAGAATCTGCATTTCAGAGACATCTAGGATATAAATGGAATCATTTTAACAAATGAGGGCAGAGTCCACAAATCGTGACTATTCTCAGGCTCTGTTGCTTTTCTTTCCCACCATGCCCACTGACAGCTGGCTTCATTTCTGAACAATTTTTGTTGTCTCACTATTTACTTTCCTTTTTAAAAGGTTTTTTTTTTCCTATTTATATATGTAATACATGTTCTTGTAAAATTGTTAGAAAATGCTAAAGTTTTTTCAAAATCATCTGTAACCCTAACTAGTCTAGAGGTAACCCAAGTAAATATTTTGAAATATTTTCTTCCAAATCCTTTTTAAAACTGAAATTGCATATGACAGTCTCATTTTGTACAGAGGACAAAGTGAATGTGCTGTATTGCTACATGATAATGGCTCTGTTAAGCCAGCTGAGACCCTGCTGAACAGGATACAGATGGCACTGGATGGTGGGAAAAGCACAAGAGTTTGGTTCCGACCCTGCTTCTTAGTAACTTGTAGGCTTTGGGCAAGTGATTTAACCTCTCTGAGCCTCTGTTTTCTCATATGCAAAATGAGCAATAATAATTCCTACCACATAGAGTGTTTATGAGCACTCAATAAAATAAAATATGTAAATTGATTGAAACATAGTAATGCTCAATCAATTATAGTCATATTATTAGTACTGTTAACAATAATGTCTTTAAAGGTGGCAGCTTAGTCTTGAAAAAAGAGGAGATTAAATTGAAGCCAAGTTGGCTGGAGCCAGACACGATGAAAGGGAACAGAGTAAGAACTCTGCACTCATTGCTGGGATCCAGCCTGAACAACCAGGGAAAGCATTCCATGTCCAGGGCTTACCCCTTCCTCAAGAACAGCATCAAGGACATAGACGATCAACAGGTACCGTCAGTCCCCAGGTCTGGCCACAGAGAAGCATTGTGATCAGAGCTCTTTGTCACTAGCTGAAGAAAGGTAAGTGTGGCAGGTCCGTGGCATGTCACCCACAGCACCCTTCAGAATGAAGGAGCCTGGAGGCTGCAAGGCCAGCCTCTGCAGTCACCAACCCTGGGGATGACCTCAGTAAAGAAGGCTGTCTTGCCAAGGGTCACATCCCTTTTCGGGGTAACACACACCCTGTGACTGGCAATACAGGTGTACAAAGGCCTGACCTTCTCTTCCCAAGTCAGGACAGCTATGAAAGCTCATCCCACCTTCAGCTTGCCCTGGTAGGTTAGCGGTGGCTTCCATGGAGTCTTGGCATCTCCCTCTACACAATCCTGCTTCCCTGCCTTCCCCTTCCTTCTCCCCTTCCCCTTCGTCTCCTTTCCCCTTCCATTCCCTTCCATAGGCTTTGATCCCAAAAGCACTCCCTACTGGAGCTCCTACATGCTAACTCCATCTCTGAGTCTGCTTCAGGAAGAGTCTTCAGGGGGCCTTTCTGAAGAGCTGGCATTGACGCAGTACCTGAAGGAGGAAGCCAGTAACCATTGAGGGGTTAGAGCCTTTGGGTAAGAGGGAACCATAACAGAAGACATACTGAGGCTGTGGGAATGGACTTGGCTTATTTGAGGAAGCAAAGGAACGTCTGCATGACTAGAGTGGGGGCCCTCGGAGAGTAATGGACCCTGGCTAGGAATGTGGCCTGTGACTTACTTCTCACAGTAAGTAAGAAGTCCTCTTCTCCAGGGGCCTTTGTGTGAGCCATGGCCAGTGTGGTCTGGTGGGTTCCAGCACTAGCCCTAGCACTCACTCCATCCCAATCTTAGAAAAATCCAGCTTGTGACAGGAGACCCACCTGCTCCCCCTCCTCACATCTCCTGGTGCAATCCCTGCTGTGTGCCCTGCAGGGCTTCTTGAGTAAATAGTGAGCTGAGCTGACATTGGATTCTATTCTTACAGTTTGCCCTTTTTTCAATGTTACCCAAGGACTTCTGCTTCCAGGAAGATGGAGTAGGCATACTTTTCCCTATTTTTACCTCTAAATACAAGTAAAAACCCTGGACATTATATATAAACAAACAGAGGAGAATCTGAAGATGGAGAGAAGGAGGGAGACAGGCTAGGGGCCTTGGGCCACAAGGAATGATTCAGTAGTGAGTCCCTGGAGCTTTCTTGTTGTCTTGGAGCTAAAGGAGCTGGCAACTCAGAAATGGCAAAAGGCGCACACAAAAACATCCCCAACAAAAGTCTGCTTTCTTTAGCAAAGGACCAGGAAAAGGGCAGCCTAGCAAAAGAGAAAATCTTTAGACAGCAGCCACTCAACTCCAGCCAAATGCTACAGGAAACAACAGCAACAGTGGCCCCATACCCACCCTCACCAGCAAAGGCCAGTGGGGAGCCTCAACCTCCACCCTCACCAGGCTGTATCAAGGTGCCCCAAGCCCCCTCCCAGGGTGGTGTCAGAGAAGGCCAAGCGTGGAGCCAGAGGTTTCATCTCTACCAGGTGGCAGAGACCCCTCCTACCTCCCACCATCCAGCCATGTGGTGGCAGTGGAGACCATGTGGGGAGCCTCAAATTCCGCCCCCAACCAGCGGTAATGAGACACCCCTCCCTGTCCCCACTAGGGAGGGGCTAGGGGCTTGGAGGAGGCCTGGTGGAGAGTTAAGACATATACCACTGCCTAGTAAAATGAAGCCACCTCCTCCCATGGTGTCAGTGAAGCCATGTGGGGAGCAGTGGCACTCCTGTCTCTTCCAGCCAGGGTGTATAAGCCTAGAGGGAATCAAGAACACCCACCTCCACCCAGCAGTACTGAGGAGCACTGCCTCACAGGTGTCAATGGAGGCAAAATAGAGAATCTGGACTTCTATCCCCACTCCTGGCAAAATGGGCAGCACTTTCCCTTTCCCCTACTGAGCTCACACTAGAGTTTATTTGACACCTGTTAGAGCCAGCTAAAATAGAAGGTTTGAAAAAGATTAAAAATCCTATAACATAAAACCCAAAGTATACAAATTTCAATAGAAAAATATTCATCATACCAAGAGCCAGGAAGATCTAAAACTGAATGAAAAAGACAATCAATAGATGCCACCACCACTGGGTGCTGTGGCTCACCCCTGCAATTCTAGCACTTTGGGAGGCCAAGGTGGGAGGATCACTGGAGCTCAGGAATTCAAGACTAGCCTGGGTAATATAGGTAATTTTGTAGAGGCCCCGTCTCTACAAAAAAATTAAAATAAATTAGCTGGGTATAGTAATCTGTGCCTGTGGTCCCAGCTACTGGGGAGACTGAGGTGGGAGGATCACTTGAGCTTGGGAGGTTGAGGCTGCAGTGAGCCATGATCATGCCACTGTGCTCCAGATTGGCAGACAGAGTGAGACCCTGTCTCAAAAAAAAAAAAAAGATGCCAACACCAAGATGACAAGATGTTACCAACAAAATTTTTAAAGCAGCCATCATAAAAATCCTTCAATGAGCAATTACAAACACGCTTAAAACAAATAAAAACACACAGTAAAGAAACAGAAGACATAAAGAGGAAACAATGAAAATTTTAGAAGTGGGAATCACAATAAATTTTTATAAAACTCAATGGATGAGCTTACAGCAAAAGTCAATGTAAAAAATCAGTGAACTTGAAGACAGAAATTACTCAATCTGAGCAGAAAATAATATAAACTGAAAAAAAAAAAAAGAACAGAGCTTTAGGGATCTGTGGGACTAAAACAAAAAAATCTAACACTAATGTCATCAGAATCCTGGAAAAAGAGGAAAATAAGTGCCAGGCTGAAAAAGTCCTCCAAGATATAATAACTGAAAACTTCCTCAAATTGGCAAAAGATGCAAATCTACAGATTCAAGAAGCCGAGAAAACTCCAAACAACATCAACCCAAAGAAATCTATACTAAGTCATGTCACAGTCAAACTTCTGAAAACTAAAGACAAAAAAAAGAAAATTCTAATAAAAAAGGACATCTTACTTGTAAGGGAAAAACAATCTGAATGACAACAGATTTCACAAAAGAGGCCATAGAGTTCAAAAGGAAAGTGGCACGACATTTTTCAAGTGTTGAAAAAAGACTTGTCAACCCAGAATTCTATATCTAGAGAAAATACCCTGTAGGAATGAAGGGGAAATCAAGACACTCTCAATGAAAGAAAACCAAAAAAAAGTTGTTGCTAGCTGACCTACACTGAAAGAATAGCTAAGAACATTCTCTAAAAAGAAAAATAAAATGTTTTTTTAAAAAGAATATTGGAACAATGGGAAGAAAGAAAGAGAACATAAGCAAAAAATATGGATAAGTACAATATTTCCTGCTCTTCAGTTTTTAAAATTAGTTGATCATTGAAGCAAAAATTATAACACTCTGATCCAGTTCTCTGTAAGGAGGAAATATGTAAGACAACTATAAATGGAGATGGCAAAAAGAACTAAGGTTTCTATAATTCATCTGAACTGGTAAAATGTTGGCAATAGACAGTAATAAGTTATGTATATATAATGAAATACCTAGAGAAACAAACTTAAAAAGCTAACAAAGACATACATTCAAAAAAGTACGACTGAGGGCCAAGCACAGTGGCATGCACTTGTAATACCCAGCTACTTAAAGGGCTGAGGTGGGAGGACGGCTTGAGCCCAGGAGTTTGAGACTTTATTTAGACAACATGGTGAGACTCTGTCTTAAAACAAAAAAAAAACAAAAACAAACCAAAAGTACTATAGAGGAAACAAATTATTTTTAAACTTTTTCAAGTAACCCATAGGAATGGGAAAAAAATAAAAATCACAGAAAACAATGGAGAGAAAAAACAGCATATTTAAGTCTTAACATAGCAATAATTACACTAAATTCAAATTGTCTTAATATACTAATTAAGAGAGATTGGCAGAGGGATTAAAATATATATCCAATTCTATGTTGTCTACTAGACATTTAATTCAAATATAACAATATAGATTTTAAAAGTAAAAGAATGGAAAACAATATACCATGAAAACATTAATCAAAAGAATACAAGAGTAGCTATACTACCATTAGATAAAGTAGACTTCAAAGCAAAAAAAAAGTTACCAGGGACAGAGAGGAGCATTACATAATGATAAAACAGTAAGTCCAGCCAAGAAGACACAGCAATCCTAACTGTTTATGCACCAAACAGAGGTAAAATATGTGAAGCAAAAACTAATAGAATTAAAAAGAAAAACAGACAAATCCACAATTGTGGCTGGAGACTTAAACCTCTCTCAAAAGTATATAGAGAAACAAGACAGAAAAATCAGGACAGATATAGCACTCAACACCATTAATACTAAGATCTAACTGATATTTAGAGAGCACTTCATCCAACAACAGCAGAATACACATTCCTTTCAAGTGCCAATGGAACATATCAAGAAAAACTATATTCTGTGTCATTTAAAAAATAAAAACTCAACAAATTTAAAAGAATTGAAATCATACAGAGTATATTCTCTGATCACAATGGGATCAAACTAAAAATTAATAGTAGAAAAACAGAAAATCTCCAAACACTTGGAAACTAAACAACAAACTTTTAAATATCTCCTGGGCCAAGAGAAAGTTTCAAGGGAAATTGTAAAAATACACTGAACTGAACAAAAGTTAAAATAAAACATACCAAAATTTGTGGGACACCACTAGAACACCACTGAAAAGAAATTTTTTAGCACTAAATACTTCTAATAGAAAAGAGAAAAAGCCTAAAATCAATAATCTAGCTACACACCTAAGAACACTGAGAAAGAAGATAGAAAAACAAACACCAAAACAAGTAGAAGTAATCCCATAATAAAGATAAGAGCAGAATTCAGTAAATTGAAAACAAAAACAATAGGAAAAAACAATAAAAGAGAAAGTTGGTTATTTGAAAAGATCAGTAAAACGGACAAGTCTCTAGCAAGACTGACAAAGAAAAAAGAAAAGATACAAATATCAAGAGTGAAAGAGGAAATATCACTACAGACCATGCATATATCAAAAAGATAATAAGAGAATATGATAAGCAATTTTACATCCATAAATTTGACAACTGAAATGAAAAGGATCAATTCTTCAAAAAATGCAAACTACCCCAGCTCACCCAATATGGAATATATGATTTGAATAGCCCTATGATTACCAAGTAAAAATTTAAAACTCCCAAAAAAGAAATCTCCAGGCCCAGATGGCTTCACTGGAGAATTCTATGAAAAGTTTAAAGAATTAGCACCAATTCTATTCAGTCTTTTCCATAAAATAGAAGATGAGGAAATTCTTCCCAAATAATTTTACGAAGGTAGTATACCCTGATACCAAAGCCAAACAATGACAGTACAAAAACAGAAAACTGCAGACCAATATCCCTCATGAATATAGATGCAAATATCGTTACCAAAATATTAGCAAAAACAATTCAGCAATATAAAAAAAGAATTACATGCTATGAACAAGTGAGGTTTATTCCAGGGATGCAAGGCTAGTTCAGTGTTCAAAAATCAATATAATCATTGTTAATACATCTACATACTAGCAATAAATGTGAAAACTAAAATTAAAAAATAGAATACTGACCAGGTGCAGTGCCTCACACCTGTAATCCCAGCATTTTCGGAGGCTGAGGCAGGTAGATCACCTGAGGTCAGGAGTTCAAGACCAGCCTGGCCAACATAGTGAAACCCTATCTCTACTAAAAATACAAAAAAATTAGCCAGGCGTGGTGGTGGGCGCCTGTAATCCCAGATACTCGGGAGGCTGAGGCAGGAGAATTGCTTGAACCCAGGAGGCAGAGGTTGCAGTGACCCGAGATCATGCCACTGCACTCCAGCCAGGGTGATAGAGTGAGACTCCATCTCAAAAAAAAAAAAAAGTGCTATTTATAATTATTCAAAAAATAAAATGCTTAAGGGGTGCAAATTTAAGAAAACATAAGACTAGTATGCTGGAACTACAAAATAGTGACAAAAGAAAGCAAAGAAGATCTAAATTAATGGAGAGTCATACCTGGTTTGTGGACTAGAAGACCACACACACACAGCTACCATATGACCCAGCAATTGCATATGTGGGCATACGTCCCACAGGGGTAGCAAAGCATGTTCACAAAAAACCCGTACATGAATACTTAAAGCAGTTTTATTCATAAGAGCCAAAAACTGGAAACAACACAGATGGCCATCAACGACAAATGATTGCATGTACTGTGATACATCCATACCATGAAATACTATTCATCAACCAAAAGGAATGAACTTGGCAGCCCACGCCTATAATCCCAGCTACTTGGGAGGCTGAAACAAGAGAATCATTTGAACCCAGGAGGCAGAGGTTGCAGTGAGTCAAGATGGCGCCACTGCACTCCAGCCTGGGCGACAGAACAAGATCCTCTCAAAGAAAAAAAAAAAGGAAGGAGGGAAGGAAGGAAGGAAGGAAGGAGGGAGGGAGGGAAGGAAGGAGGGAGGGAAGGAAGGAGGGAAGGAAGGAAGGAAGGAAGGAAGGACGGAAGCAAGGAAGGAAGGAAGGAAGGAAGGAAAGGAAAGAAGGAAGGATAAAACAAAAAGGAATGAACTGATGATACATGAACAGCCTGGAGGAATAGCCAGAGAATTATGCCGAGTGAACAGAAAAGCTAATCCCCAAAAGGTTACATACTGTGTGGTTCCACTTATATAACATTTTTGAAATGGAGAACAGATCAGTAGTTACCAGGAATTAAAGCTGGAATAGAGTGAGAGGGAAGTGGGTGTGGCTATAAATGTCAACATGAGTCATCCTTGTGATTGTGGAAAAATGTTTTCTATCTTGACTATATCAATGTTCATAGACTGGTTGTGATTTTGTCCCATAATTTTTCAAGACGAATTTAGTTTTTAAAAAATATTACATATATATTTGTTGAAAAATAAGCATTAAAGAAGTGTATAATATAAAAAGTTTCTTGTAAGATACCCAGACCCTACTCATTCCCTTCACCCTCTTCCCATACCCCCCACCCACACACACACTGCCTCTGGATAAATACTATTAATGGTTTGATATATTTTCCTCTGATTCTGTTTTTGGGGGCATTTTTTGACAGGGTCTTGCTCTGTGGCCCAGGCTAGAGTGCAGTGTCACGATTACAGCTCACTGCACCCTTGACCTCCAGAGCTCAAGCGATCCTCCCACCTCAGCCTCCCAAGTAGCTGAGACTACAGGCTCATGCCACCATGCCCAGCTAATTTTTGTTTTGTTTTGTTTTGTTTTTATACAGATGAGATTTTGTCATGTTGCCGAAGCTGGTCTTGAACTCCTGGGCTCTAGCAATCTGCCCGCTTTGGCCTCCGAAAGTGCTGGGACTACAGGTGTGAGCCACTGCACCCAGCCTACTCTGATTTTTTGCATAACCTAAAATATCTATCTACCTTTATATATAATTTACATTTTTAAAACCAAAAATTGAATTATACTAAACATAGTCCTGCAACATGCTTTTCTTATCCAATATATTTTGGGCATTTTTTCTATATCAGTATTTTATTGCTATCAGTGGCTACACAATATTCTACTGAATGACTGTGTCATGATTTATCATTTCTTATAATGGTGGAAGTATATACATTTTTCCTTTCAACATTACAAATATTGCTGAAAACAACTATTTATTTGTGTCAATGTATTTCTAGTCTCATTTCCTAGAAGTAGAAAATGTAAGACCAAACAGTTTTTGCCTATTTTAAAATGTAATCGATTCTGCCCATTGCCCTCCACAAATATTGCACCAATTTATATCATCATCAACAGAGTATGAGACTCTGTCCGTTTGCCCATACTCTCAACACAGACATTAGGTTTTAAAAATTCTCCTAGAGTCATGTTTGTGACAATAGTGAAAATGTGGAAAAGAATGTGTCCCCAGACATAGGAGTTTGTGTTCCAACACTGCATACAAGGGTAAGACATTGAGACAACAGTAGGCTTGAAGAAACAGAAAGGTAGAAACAGAGCGAAATAGAGACAGATGGACGGATGGGCATATATATGGATGGTGGGTACACAGAGATATGAAATCTCATTTGATTCGGCTGAACATTTTTAGAACAAGCACACAGCTTTGAACATGCCCTGAAGGCAAGTGCCATGAATATATTGGATGGTTTCAGTAGTGAGAAAAATACCATTATATATAAAACAAAAAAATGTGAAATTCTAAATTTGACTAGTTATATCAAGAACAAAAGTCCGGGCCAGGCACAGTGGATCGCTCCTTGAATCTCAGCACTTTGGGAGGCCGAGGCAGGAGGATCACTTAAGCCTAGGAGTTGGAGACTGGCCTGGGCAACAAAGTGAGACCCCCGTCTCAAATTTTTAAACATTTATTTTTAAAAAAGAAAGAACAAACAAAAGCCCTGAAAGCTGAGCAGAAGTTCTCCAGGAGGCATGCCAAGAATGGGTGCAAAACACAGCACAGTGGGCAACTCTGGAGAGTGGCCAGGAGTGTAACATGGTCACAGCATCAGGCACCTGTAGGAAGGGGATAATAGGAACAGGCCCACAGTGGAGGATGCAGCAGGGAGAATATGGGTACAGGAAGTAGAGATGGAGTGTGGTGGCCTCAGACCTCCCTCCAAAAGAACCAGCTGCAGGGGGCACAGCTTCCCGCACAGACCTGCCACAGAGTCACACTGTCCCTGGCGCTCCCACCCCATGCCTGAGCATGCAGTGGGTGCCATTTCTGCCTGATGCGGGATTCCGCTCACAGGCTGTCTTCTCTTGGGGTTGCCCCATTGTCTGAAGCTTCTCCTACCCAGTCCTCCTTCCCTCCCTCTCTGCTTCCACAGGTGTCAGATCTACATCGCAGGCAGCTGGCTCTTTGGCCTACTGAGGTTCATGTCCCTCTGTCCTTCCCAGAGGCTTCCTCCATTTCGTCCCTGGCACATCTAGTCCCATCTTGGCATCTGCTTCTTGAGGGGCCTGAGCCGACTGAGAGAGAGAGAGAGATGGGCATCTGACAAGTCAGAGAGAGAGAGATGGGCATCTGACAAGTCGTGAAGGGCAAACCGCTCCTTTAGACTTCACTATCACTCTAGCATCACACCTGGGATTGCAACGATTAATCACTCCTCGCAAAGCTGTGGATTCCTCGTCTGTAAAGTGAGAGAGATGGGCTACATAATCTCCAGGTCCTTTCGGTTCTATGTTGCCACAAACTGAATTTGTTAAGATTTCAAATTTGAGGAT
The DNA here is from genome assembly GCF_000001405.40 of Homo sapiens. Taxonomy (NCBI): domain Eukaryota; kingdom Metazoa; phylum Chordata; class Mammalia; order Primates; family Hominidae; genus Homo; species Homo sapiens. The sequence goes on from NC_000002.12 coordinate 30,130,212, forward strand.
GTGGTCTCTACTGCCAAAGAGAAGGGATTTTCTTTGACCCTATTAACCAATAATTGTAATGAATCTTTCTTATGGACAGTGCAGTGATTAATCCCAGGGTGTGGTGATGTACCAGGCACAGGTACGCCAGTGGAGGGCCACTCTCCAGAGCTGCCCACTGTCCTGTGTTTTGCACCCATTCTTTGCATGCTTCCTGGAGAACTTCTGCTCAGCTTTCAGGGCTTTCATTTGTTCTTTCTTTTTTTAAAATAAATTTTTAAAAATTTGAGACGGGGGTCTCACTTTGTTGCCCAAGCTGGTCTCCAACTCCTAGGCTTAAGTGATCCTCCTGCCTCGGCCTCCCAAAGTGCTGAGATTCAAGGAGTGATCCACTGTGCCTGACCCAGACTTTTGTTCTTGATATAACTAGACAAATTTAGAATTTCACATTTTTTGTTTTTATATATAATGGACAAGGGAGGAAGGCTACTAAGAACTGGGAGTACAGGAAGGAGACCAGTGTCCTTGGGTTCCTGCTTGGAAACAGAGATGGTGCAGAGATTATAACCTGAGCTTACTTGCATTGACTTCTTTTTTAAAAACTACAAAGGTTTTACAGGCTTTTTAAAAAGTCAATCATGCTGGGCACAGTGGCTCATGCCTGTAATCCCAGCACTTTGGGAGGCCAAGGTAGGAGGATCACTTGAGGTCAGGAGTTCGACACCAGCCTGGCGAACATGGTGAAACCCTGTCTCTACTAAAAATACAAAAAAATTAGCCAGGCGTGGTGCCGATGCCTGTAGTCTCAGCTACTCTGCAGCCTGAGGCATGAGAATTCCTTGAACCCGGGCGGGCGGGGCTGTGTGGGGAGGGGAGTGGAGGTTGTGGTGAGCCGAGGTCACGCCACTGCACTCCAATCTGCGCGACAGAGTGAGACTCCATCTCAAAAAATATATTTTTTAATAAAAAAGCCAATTAATATATAACTGTATAAACTGCTTAAGGGTGTTCATTGCTCACAGTATGATGTTTCTTTCCAAAACTTCCTGTTTTACACAAACCCATATATCTCCACTTATACACATTTTTTCTTTTGAACTTTAAAAATTATAAAAGAAAAATATGTTTATTGTAAAAAAATAAATAAATAATGTTTTTTAGAAGATCCTGAAGCTTACGGAGGAAAAGGGTAAGTTTCACTTGAACTGTCTCCCATTCAACTCCAGAGAGGTAACACATACATAGGAATACACAACCACCTCCAAGAAACATCTCCTACTCCAAACACACAGCTCAAATTCAACAAGTCCAAAATACGACTCCTGACTCTCCTCACCCTATGCCCACTTGCCAAAGCCATTCCTTGAGGCCCCTGTGCTTCCCGCTCACTAAAGGGTTCCAATATTCATTTCATTGCTCAGGCTAAAATCTAAGGGTCAGCTCTGATCCCTTTCTTCCCCTCACATCCCACGTCCAATGCATCAGTAAGTCCTGTCTACTGGAATATGTTATATACCCCAGATGCCATCATTTCTCCCCATGCCCTTACACCGTGGCCCTGGTGTAAGGCCCATCTGCTCTCACCTAGATCACCGCATCCACTTCTGGACTGATCTTCATGCCTCCAGGAGAACCAGAGGGACTGTTTTAAAACACAAAATGAAATTGAGCTTTGGCCTACTGCACTGCCTTTCCATTACACTTGGAATAGAACTCGGCCCCTTTGGTCCTACAAAATCTGGCATCTGCCCCACTTTCAATCGCCTTCCTTTCATTGCCTATGCCCCACAAGCCTTGCCAATCCATGTGAGCTCCTTCCACTCAGGGACCTCCAATTTCCTGTCCCCTCTGTCTGGGACGCTCTTTTCTACCATCTGCACACACTGCCCCTTCTCAAATATTCCTTCCTACACAACCTCAAATAGCCACCCTACCCCAACTCCACTGCCTAGTTTTCTTCAAGGCACCTGCAATCTTCTGCAAGTATTTAATTATTTACTTTTTCAGTTTCTCTCTCATTACAGTCCACCACCCATGAAGGGCAAGGACTTGGTCTTAGCATGGTACCCCCAATTTCTAAAGCAGTGCTTGGTACATAGTAAGTGCCCTAATAATAATTATTGAAAGAATAAAAACACACTTACATAACCAAGATTTTTTAAAATTTATTTTATTTTATTTTTTGAGACAAGGTCTTGCTGTGTCATCCAGGCTGGAGTGCAGTGGCGTGATCACGGCTCAACTTCTGGGCTCAAATGTTCCTCCCACCTCAGCCTTCCCAGCAGCTGGGACCACAGGTACACACCACCACGCCTGGCTAATTTTTGTATTTTTTGCAGAGATGGGGTTTCACCATGTTGCTCAGGCTGGTCTTGAACTCCTGGGCTCAAGTGATCCACACACCTCAGCCTCCCAAAGTGCTAGGATTATAGGCGTGAGCCACCGTGTCTGGCCTATAACCAAGATTTTTAAAATAATGACTTCAATTCTCCTTTTAACTTGCTCTTTTCACTTTAAAAATATTACACAAACGCCATTCTATGTTAGTACATATAAACACACCTCACAGCACAAGATATCATAGTATATCTGTATTATAATTATTGAACTATTTACTTACTGATAGACATTCAGATCATTACCAGCTTTTTTGGTATTACAAAGAGGGCTTTAATGAACTTTCCTTTATATATATTTTTGTACCCTGGTATAAATGTTTCACACACTAAGTTCCAAGAAGTGGAATTGCTGGCTTACAGTTTTACTGCCCTTTAGGGAGATAACCGTGGACTAGGAGAATGAGCATGGCTCCATTTGAGAATATTTGAGTTTGTATCTCATCCTTTCCATGTACTTGCTCTGTGAGATCTGCAGTCTCTGAGATTCAGCAAAAGTCCCCCTACTGTCTATATATCCATGTGAGATCATGGGTATGTTAAGTAGCTTGTAGAACATGAAGTTCTGTAGAAAAGGAAAAATTGGGCTGGGCGCGGTGGCTCACACCTGTAATCCCAGCACTTTGGGAGGCTGAGGCGGGCGGATCACGAGGTCAGAAGATCAAGACCATCCTGGCTAACATGGTGAAACCCCGTCTCTACTAAAAATACAAAAAATTAGCCCAGTGTGGTGGGGGGCACCTGTAGTCCCAGCTACTCTGGAGGCTGAGGCAGGAGAATGGTGTGAACCCAGGAGGCGGAGCTTGTAGTGAGCTGAGATTGTGCCACTGCACTCCAGCCTGGGTGACAGAGCGAGACTCCGTCTCAAAAAAAAAAAAAAAAGGGGGGAAAGGAAAAATTGTGAATCAAGTAGTACACAGTAGTCAAGAGGATGGGCTCTGGAGCCATCCTGTTTGAGTGTTAATATTAGGCACCACTGTTTACTGTGGGCCATGGACATGTAACCAGACCTCAGGTTCAGTCACTTGCTGCTTGCAGAGTCCAGTGAACAAGAGCAAGGTCTGCTATAAAGAAAGTGACTTTTTATTCCAAAGCGAGCTTAGCGGAAGAAGTACAGGCTCCTGCCTTTAAGGGTACTGTTTCACGTTTGGGGCAGAAAGCAGGGGACTTGGGATGAGCAGCATGCAGGAGACGAAGCGAGCAGGTGGGGTTCTGTGTGACTGGCATTGGTGCCTTCTATCTACCAAGAAGTCAAGCTGGTGGTATCGCAGGCAGAGCTAGGTTGTAAAGTGGCCATTGTCTGAGATACTGCCCAGGTAGGAGAGAGTTCTGTCGTGGGCATACTTTTAGCTTGTAAATGTAAACAGACTGTTGTCTCCTGAGACAATCTCCTAGTGGGAGAGGGTTCTGGCTCTGGAGCTTCTAAGTAAGCACACAGTTAGACAAGCTTGCTGTGTAGGGAGTGGCTAGTGAAGGGAAGGTAAAGGTGATAACTGCATTTCTAAAAAGATAAGTAGGAAGTGGGGAACAGGGGAAAAGGAGGAAAGAGAAAAGAAGAAAATAATAATTTAAAAAATAACTAAGTCCCTTTCTCTTAGAAAAATGGGGGTACTCAGTTATAGACAGATTATTCCACCCTTCTATGACTCAGATTTTTCATCTGTATCTAAGATGGGTTTAATAATAGATCCATTCCATACAGTTGTTGTGAGGACTACATAAATTAACATGGGTAAAAATACTTAGAATACTGAGTAGCACAAGATAAATACTATACCAGTACTATCATTATTGTTATGATGCTGTTGTGATTCATTTGGGTGCATAAAGCATTACTTCATGAAGGACAGAGCTAACTAAATACTTCTTGATACTTTTTTTTTTTGCTTATAAAAAAGGTCCTCATGTCTTCAGAAATTGTAAAAAGTTCTCCAACCATTTCCTTCCCTTTACCTAAGTTTTCTTACCCTTTGTCTTCCTTTTCAGCTTGTTCACATAAAATACTACACATATGTCTATTCTATATTCAAGATATGTCACTCAAACTGGATCAAAAAAAAAGAAAACCCTAATACTTCTCAATGTTTTCTAGGAAATAAACACAATGATATAGCACTGCTCTGAGAAAATGTAAAAAAAAGAATAGAAAAGAAACAAGGCTGCCAGTGTACTATACTGCCATGTAGCGTCGCCAAAAGCCACTGCTTGTTATTCGTTATCTGTGGTGTGTTCATCTTGAAATTCAGATAGCCAGTCCACAAAAGACAAAACTCAGCCCTGCCTGAAGTCTTTCTGCAGAATTCTAACTGACCTAAGCTGTACTAGTGAAACAGAGTTGTTACAGTGGACATAGTTAACCCTATTTTCCTGGTACACGTTAGGTGACACGAGGCTTCCCAGGAACACAGTGGAACACAATGGCACCGGAGAAGGAGAAGGCTATTTAAAATTACATAAACAAACATTGATCTGTGATTCCATCCATCGTGTGGTTATTATCTTTGTATCTTTGAAATTCTGTATCTCTTTCTCTCTCTTCCCAAGAAACCATCCATTTGCTCATTCTCCAAAGTCCACTGGAGCCAGGGAACACACCCACAGAGATAAAAAATATGCTAGCCACGAGCCACTTCTCAGCTTACTGATATGATTACAACCTTCATCAAAACAAAGAGCTTCCTATGAACTCCAAAGGATAAAATCTTTTCAGATCAAAGCTTATTTAGATGGTACCAGTTAAAATGCAGAATTACAGTAAGGATATAAAGGTATCTTGATAGAACTCCTAATTCACTCAGTCTTGTCACCAATATATCTTTAACAGACTCATTAAATTGACATTCAATAAAGATTTGCATACAGCATTCAATTTTCCAATAGTGAGCTTCTGATCCTGAAAACCCAGGTTTTGGAAAACTTGAAATTGAGGCTCTCAAGACTTTAACATCTTTGGGTTAAAAAAAATTACTTGTAATGAAACTTTAAAAGGAATCAGTTAGTCTAGCTAAATTTCTTCGACTGGCACTTACGGCCTGTCTACTATCTGTTCTCAGCCTGGGCTTTCAACATTGTCTGTGGCTACTGTCCTATACAGATACTACTCTGTTAAACAGAGCTCCTCAGTCTTCCCATCTTCCCCAAGCACACTGACAGTTCCTGTCTCAGAGCCTTTGCTCAAGGGCAAGTTAATCACTGAGAAACTTTTATAACAGATGCTGCAAGTTTTCCCTGCAAGCTGCATCATAATAATACAGCTCTATCTGCCCAGAGTAGAGCCATGCTTCGTTTGGGAAATGCCATTTCCCCAACTCCAGCCCTATGGTACTAGGGAGGTATGGGGGCTGCCAATGAGAAGACCCCATATGCCTAACCTTGGCAATTAGTCCCTGACCCAGCCAAGCCAAACAGAATCCTTCTCTGGGACTCTCTCGACTTGAGCTTACAGGGATAAGACTTTCCAGTCAGGAACCCACAAGGACGTAAACATGGAGTACAAGGGGTCAACCTACAAAGAGCAAGAGAAGTAGAGACAGAGCCAGCCAGTCTTTGCTGCTTATAAGTTTCCCAAGGCCAGATCCAACCACCCTTCCTGTTCTTCAGTGATAGGGGCCAATAAATTTCCTTCTTATGTTTCAGCTCCTTCAAGCTGGATTTCTGCTACTTACAATCTCCTACTGCTGACTGATACCGGTAGTTCTGCAGAAGATGCAAATTCTTCACATGATCATTTTTTGTATCAATTCTCTGTAACAGCCGAGGACAAACTGAAATTAAAAATGCTTGTGGCAATAACATTTATCTTTACCAGTTTTCTAATTGCTAATGTTAAACATATCCATTGTAAAATACGTTTATGAAAACCAGGACAGTGTAGAAAGGGAATATTTCAGATGTCTGTACATATATAAATACATATGATCTTATTTTACAAAAATTGGATCAGACCTTGTATAGAATTCTACATAGCTTGCATTTCCCAATTAATAACATCTTTTGGACATCATAATATATTAGTTCATATAATCTGCTTGGTGCTTGGTGGGTTTTTTGTTTCTGTTTTTAGGCATTAAAATTTTTTTGTGTGTTTTTCTCTTCCAATAACTTGGTGGTGTCTTAAATGTCTATATTTAAAGTGCGTCCTCCTAAATGACTATCATTGGTAATGGTGGTCAGTAGGATTGTGTACACAGTAATCCCCCCCATTCATGGGGGATACATTACAAGACCCCAAGTGGATGCCTGAAACCATGGATAGTACTGAACCCTATATACACCATGTGTCTTCCTGTACAGTAATGGGCAGGTAGTGTGTACAGCTTGGACAAAGGATGATTCATGCCCCATGCAGGATAGGGCAGGACGGAGCCGGATTAGACCACACTACTCAGAACAGCACGCAGTTTAAAACTTATAAATCATACATCCATGTTTTGTGTTGGGGAAAAACCTTACAAATTGTTTATTTCTGGAATTTTCCATTTAATATTCTTGGAATGCGAAACTGAAGGTCAGGGGAAACTACTGTAATCTCATTGACAGGATTCTCGTTTAGAGCCCAGAGACCTTTCTATTGACCTTTTGTGTGCAGATAGCTGTGGAAAGAAGTCGAATGACTACTTTTTCATTTCCACGACATAAATCAGGTCAGACTTTTGGCAATATTTCAAGTATTCTCTCCATTCGGGGTTGAACCACAAAAGAGAGCTATCACACATCGGCCTGGCAGTCTGTGAGGTGACCTTAACACTCTGTCATGTAGATGGTACACAGAAAACAGCAAAAGCTGCTCACCTTGAACTCAGCTTCATAATCAAGAATCACGGATATCACAATAAGAACCAACACAGCAGCATCTTTTATTGAGCACATAATAGGTGCCACGGACATTGCCTATGCACTTAAAGTCAGCGGCATTATTTAATGCTCACAAATACCTAAGTTATGACAATTTTTGGTAATTATGCGAAGCGCTCCCCATGGCCAGACAGTGTGTCTGTCAGTGCTGGGGTCTGACCTTGGGCTCACTAACTCTAAAGCTTGAGTTTCTCACCACCATTTTATTCTGCTAAGTGGCCCCACCTAATTTGGGACATTTATCACTCCTTATCCCAAGGCTCAGATTTTGAAATGCCAAGTGTTTATTGTCAGAAAAGTTTGTGAGCATTTTACTATAGTTCTTGTTTTTAACATAACGTAAGGGAAATATTAGAATATCCTCTTGGTAGGTTCGACCTGATGCAGGTAAGAGCTATGGGGTGGTGAACTAAGGCTCTGCTCCCTGACCACTTGAACATTATCTTGAGTCGGGTTTCTGGAAATAAGGTACATTAGAAAGAATACAGTTATGTGTATTAACAAAATTAAAACGAATTACATGCAGCACCAAGTAATTAATAAGAAAATATAAAATATGACTTTAGGAAAATAGGTGATATATTAGTTTCCTATCACCGCCATAACAAATTACCACAAATGCAGTGGCTTAAAACAACACAATTTTTTTTTTTTTTTTTTTTGATACGGAGTCTCGCTCTGTCACCCAGGTGTGAGTGCAGTGGCACGGTCTCGGCTCACTGCAAGCTCCGCCTCCCAGGTTCAAGCAATTCTCCTGCTTCAGCATCCTGAGTAGCTAGGACTACAGGTGTGCCCCACCACACCCAGCTAATTTTGTATTTTTAGTAGACATGGGGTTTCACCATGTTGGCCAGGCTGGTCTCAATCTCCTGATCTCAAGTGATCCACCCGCCTCTGCCTCCCAAAGTGCTGGGATTACAGGCGTGAGCCACCGTGCCCAGCCAAAACAACATGAATTTATTATCTTATAGTTCTGGAGGTCAAAAGTCTAAAATGGATCTTACGAAATTAAAAAAGAGGATAAAGTGGCAGAGCTGTGCCCTGCTGGAAGCTCTAGGAGAGACTGTTTCCTTGCCTATTTTAGCTTCTAGGGGCTGCCTCCATTCCTTGACCCCTGGCCCTATATCACTGTAATCTCTGCTTCCATGGTCACATCTCCTTCTCTGACTCTCTTAACTTCCTTTTCATTAGAAAAGCTAGTTTTTTAAAGTGTGGTAAAATACACATTAAATGTACCACCTCTGTCCAGCACGGTGGCTCCTGCCTGTAATACCAGTGCTTTGGGAGCCCAAGGTGGAAGACTCATTTAAGGCCAGGAGTTCAAGACCAGCCTAGGCAACCTAGTGAGACCTTGTCTCACTGTTTTATTATTTTACAAAAAATAAAAAGTAAAATTAACCAGGCATGGTGGTGCATACCTATAGTTTCAGCTACTTGGGAGGCTGAAGGAAGAAGATCACTTGAGCCAAGGAGTCCAAAGTTACATACAGTGAGCTTGATCATGCCACTGCACTCCAGCCTGGGCAACAGAGCAAGACCCTGTCTCTAAAAAAAATGTACCATCTCAATCATTTCTAGGTGTATGGTTCAGTCACATTAAGTCTATTCACACTGTGATGCAACAGATCTCCAGAACTTTTTCATCTTTGTTAGAGTGAACTAAATATGTCCTGAGAAGGACTATGTACTTCTATATTTGAGTCCCTGTGGACGAATTGCCACCTGGTTTAATAGGTAGACAAGACTGAAAACCTAATTTAGGAGTATGCACCTGTAACAACAGCTGAGTCTTGGCCAATCCCAGAGGCCGTATTTCAACCATGAATACACTGCTGAGTGTTGAAACTGTGCTCAAATAAGGCAAACACCAACCTGTAACCAATCCAGCTGTTCTGTACCTCACTTTTGATTTCTGTATGTCATTTCCGTTTTTTAGTCTATAAATCTTCTTCCACCACGTGGCTGCGCTGAAGTCTCTTTGAATCTGCTGTGATTCTGGGGGCTGCCCCATTTGCAAATCATTTGTTGCTCAATTAAACTCCTTTAAATTTAATTTAGCTGAAGTTTTTCTTTTAACATCTTACAAAACTGAAACTCTATACCCATTAAACAATAACTCATTTCACCCAGCCCCTGGCAAACAGCATTCTACTTTCTGTTTCTATGAATTTGACTACTTTATGTACCTCATATAAGTGGAATCATACAGTATTTGTCTTTTTGTGACTGGCTCATTTCACTTAGCATAATGTTCTCAAGATTCATTCATGTTATAACATGTATCAGAACCTTCTTCCTTCTTAAGGCTGAATCATATCCATTGTATGGATACACCACATTTTGTTTATCCATCCACCCATCAATGGACATTTGGGTTGCTTTTACCTTTCGGCTCTTATGAATAATGCTGCTATAAACATGGGTGTACAAATAGCTTTTCAAGACCTTGCTTTCAATCCTTTTGATTATATACCCAAAAGTTATATTGCTGGATCATATGGAAATTCCATTTTTAACTTTTTGCTATACTGTTTTTCATAGCAGACGTACCATTTCACATCCCCACCAATAGTGCACAAGGGTCTCAATTTCTCCACACCCTAGTCAACATAACTTGGCGGTGTCTTAAATGTTTATGTTTAAAGTGTTATTTTCTGTTTTCCTTTATAATAGCCTTCCTTATGAGGTGATATTTCATTGTGGCTTTGATTTGCATTTCCCTAATAATTAGCAATATTGAGCATCTTGTTAGTCCCTTTCTCTGACTCTGACCCTCTTTCATAAGAATCTTTGTGACTATACAGGGCCCCACCTGGATAATACAGAAATGTTAGAAAACCTAGTTTATTTTTTAAATTGTGGTAAAATACAATAATCTCCCCATCTCAAGACCCTTAATTTAACTCCACCTGTAAAGTCTCTTTTGCTATGTAAGGTAATATCTTCATAGGAGATTAGGGTATACACATCTTTGGTTGTATTATTATTCTGTCTTACACAGGTGAGTACTACGCTGCCAGAGCCAAGAGAATAAAAAGTTTGAGGCCGGGCACAGTGGCTCATGCCTGTAATCCCAGCACTTTGGGAGGCCAAGATGGGTGGATCACAAGGTCAGCAGATCAAGAGCATCCTGGCTAACACAGTGAAACCCCGTCTCTTCTAAAAATACCAAAAATTAGCCGGGTGTGGTGACACATACCTGTAGTACCAGTTACTTGGGAGGCTGAGGCAAGAGAACTGCTTGAACCCGGGAGGCAGAGGTTGCAGTGAACCGAGATTGTGCCACTGCACTCCAGCCTGGGCGACAGAGCGAAACTGTCTCAAAACAAAACAAAACGAAACAAAGTTTGAAGAATTATTGTTTGGTTGATTATTTCAAATACCGTATAGAATTTGTGCAGGCTAAAATGATTGGCTAAGTTTTATGATCAGTGTCCTTTATGATAGCTTTTAGTAAATTGGCAGGGCCACACACAGAATAAGATATTGATATTTTTTATTTTAACTACTTAACTTGTGATTATAGTTACATATATTTATTTCTCCCTGATATGGACTGATTGTTCATTTCCTCATAAAATGTATAGGTTGAAGCCTAATCCCCAATGTGATGGTACTAGCAGGTAGTGCTTTGGGGAGGTAATCAGGTCATGAGGGTGGAGCCTTCACAAATGGGATGAGTGCCCTTATAAGAAGACATAAGAGCAAAATGATCTCTCCATCAGCTATGTGAAGATACAGCAAGAAGGCAACTGTCTATAAGCCAGGAAGCAGGCCCCCACCTGATGCCAGATCTGCCAGTGTCTGGATCTTGGACTTCCCAGCCTCCAAAATTATGATAAATAGTTATTTAAGCCACCAGTATACAGCATTTTTGTTATAGCAGCCCAAAATGACTAAGACACTTCCTAAAGGAGCTATTCTATTTACATTACCCAGAGCTCTCATAAGCTCAGGTTAAAGTAAACAACACACACACACACACACTCACTCACACACACACACACACACACACAATGCAACCTCAGCCTTATGACAGCTGTACTCCACACAATGTTCAGGATCCAGGTTCCTCCCAGCTCATTGCTCCATTGTCCCTAGATGGCATCCTGGTCCCTGTGGTATAGACATCATTCATGATCCAGGCAGCAAGATGGAGGGGAAACAATGAATATGATCTCAATATAAAGCAAGGGGCAAGATAGAGGGAAGTTATTAAAAGGTTATTAGAACCCACCAGTAAGAGGTTACTGGAGTCTAAACTGGAGTGTTGGATATGAGGGCAGGTCACTTGTATGCAGGGCCCAGACAAGACAGAGATGATAAACACTTGCAGCCATTGAAGCAGGCAAGGTATTGTGGTCCATGAACAGACACAAGGGAAGTGATGGTCCTAGGCCTAAGGAATGTTTGTTTTTGTCTCTGCGTTGAGAGGAGATATGGGATCCATTTAGGACAGAATGAGCTTCAGGATGCAGAGTGTTCTCCTGGAATAGGTGTCCATCAGGTGTTGAGAATTATCAGGAGAGACTACCTTTTATCCAAACCTGGAGAAAATAGGTGACAGAGGAAGATATGCTGAAACAGAGAAAATGTAAGGCAGTTCATTTCCACTGGTCTTAATCTGACTCTAAATATGAAGCAAGACTCTCCGCAGAGAGTAAGACAGGTGGGTGGAGGCCCAAATGTTCCAGGGCTTGAGGAGCAAAGAGAAAATTTACTAGGCTGTGGGAAGTACACAGAAGCAATGAGAGACTCACAGCTGATTTCACCCACTTGAAGGGTGGTCTCACCTCTAAAGGAGCAGCTCCAAAAGCAAGAGAAAGAAAATAGGAGCAAAGGAGAGGTCCATGGAAGCACCATTAGAAGGTCACTCTGGCCAGGAACAGTGGCTCATGCCTGTAATCCCAGCACTTTGGGAGGCTGAGGAGAGAGGATTACTTGAGCCCAGGAGTTCGAGACCAGCGCTGGCAACATAGCAAGATCTCATCTCTACTAATAAATAAAAAGAAGGGCATTCTGAAAGCCTGACTCAGGGTTTGTAGTTACTAAATAGAGTCATCTACTGAGGACACAGCAGACAATTTCAGACAGAAAGTATAGTCAGTAACCCGAATAAAGCAGCAGGGTATGTTGGTGTACACTGGTATACTCCTGTTTTTTATTTTATTTACTCAAAGAATGTCAGTGTCAGCACACGTCAAATGTCAAAGGAGTTTTTATCCCAGAAACACAAAGCTAGTTTAATATTGGAGATGGGCTAATGTAATACATATAAAAAAACAGAATAAAGGGAAAAAAATGGTCATCTCAATGGACACTAAAAGATATTTAATAAAACTGCATGCCCATTCTTTAGAAAAAGGAACATTACAAACTAGTAATAACTTTTATGAATTTGTCTGATAGAAATATTCACAGATATACTCAAAGATATATGAGCAAGGATTTAAAAAGAAATAAAAGGCCAGGAGTGGTGGCTCATGCCTGTAATCCCAGCACTTTGTGAGGCCGAGGCATGTGGATCACGAGGTCAGGAGATCGAGACCATCCTGGCCAACATGGTGAAACCCCATCTCTACTAAAAATACAAAAATTAGCCGGGCATGGTGGCATGTGCCTGTAGTCCCAGCTACTCAGGAGGCTGAGGCAGAAGAATCGCTTGAACCCAGGAGATGGAGGTTGCAGTGAGCCGAGATCACACCACTGCACTCCAGCCTGGGTGACAGAGCGAGACTCTTGTCTCAAAAAAAAAAAAAAAAAAGAAAAGAAAAAAAAACAAAAGGCAAAATGACTAGAAAGTGGGCAGCAAAACTGTGATCATTTGCAGATAAAAACATTTTTCCATCCAGAAAATCCAGGAAAATAAACTACAAAATCATCATATTTCCTACAAAACAAATAACTGGTTAGAGATGTAATATATAATACGGGAAGTTCCCATTCACAGTAGCTACCTGTATTAGTTTGCTAGGGCTGCCACCACAAAACACCACAGATTGGGTGGCTTAAACAGAAATGTGTTTTCTCACAATTCTGGAGGCTGGAAGTCTAAGATCAAGGTGTTGGCTTTCTTGTGAGTTTGGTTTCTTCTGAGGCCCTTTTCCTTGCCTTGCAGATGGTATCTTCTCACTACATCCTCAAAAGGTCTTTTCTCTGTGTGCAGGCATCCCTGGTTTCTCCATGTGGCCTAATCTCCTCTTCTCATAAAGACACCAGTCAGATTGGATTAGGGCCCACCCTAATGACCTCATTTTAACTTAATCACCTTTTAAAGTTTCTACCTCCAAATACAGTCACATTTTGAGGTACTGGGGATTAGGATTCAACGCATGAATTTCGGTGGGGGGAAACACAATTTAGCCCGTAGCATTCCCAGAATATATACAATACCTAAATACAATCCTAAAATGTTATGTAAAAAACATACAGGAAGGCAGCTACACCATAAAATTTTACTGAAAGACATAAATGAACATTTGGATAAATGGAAAAAAATGTACCATGTTCTTGGTGGGAAAGTCTTAGTATTATAAAGTTTCAATAAAGTATCAACTTATTCCAATTACCTTACTGGTATAACACAATTCTAACCAAAAGCCCAGCAAGATTTTCTTCAAACTTCTCACCCTTTCTTTTTCATTTCTCTTCCATATTTCTCATATCACCTTTAATTGTACACTTTATTTCTGAGTGTCCCACCATCAGCTCAGACTCAGCCTCTTTCACCCCAAATCAACCTTCTCAACCACACTATATCTGGCAATGGGAAACCATCACACTATCAGTCACCCAGGATAAAACCTCTGACTTTAAAAATTCTGTCCTTAACCCAGGTAGAAAGTCAGTCCTGTGTAGCCCTTCCTGTTAAAGTTAAAACTGCAAACCTTAGCTCCATTCCTGCCTGCCTTCCTTACTTCTGCACATCATCATCATCTAGATTAATCTTTCTAAAATATGATTTTTATTGTTATTTTTCAAGTTCACAAATACTGTAGTCGATAACTCTACTGGGTGACCTTGGACAAGTTAGTTAATCACTGTACCTCAGTTTTGTCATCTATTAAATGGGGATAACAGTACTTACCTCACAGAGTTGTTATGAAAATTAAAAGTTAATAATTTTAAGGCACTTACAACAGGAAGAATTTTATATATATTGTTATATAAATAAACATTGTCCCCACTGTTTTATCTGGTACTTAAAGTGTTCATTTCTGTGGGTTTAAGCATTGTACTCTCTTTTCAAATGATTATATTCAGAAATACTTGAATGTTTTATCCATGTACACAGGTGTCGATTACAGCATTATTTTTAATACAAAAGACTGAAGACAATCTGAATGTCTATCAGTAGAAAAATGTTTAGAAACATTTAGAAAAGATGGTGAAAGCTGGACACATTGGCTCACACCCGTAATCCCAGCACTTTGGGAGGCCAGGGTGGGCAGATCACCTGAGGTCAGGAGTTTGAGACCAGCCTGGCCAATATGGTGAAACCCTATCTCTACTAAAAATACAAAAATTAGCCGGGCGTGGTGGTGGGCACCTGTAGTCCCAGCTACTGGGGAGGCTGAGGCAGGAGAATTCCTTGAACCTGGGAGGTGGAGGTTGCAGTGAGCCAAGATCACAACACTGCACTCCAGCCTGGGGCACAGAGCAAGACTCCACCTCAAAAAAAAAAGATGGTGAAGTCATACTACGGAAAACTATGGAGACAAAGGTAAATTTGTAGATAAAAGACACATCTGACATGAAAGGATGGCTATAGCACATTGTTGAGTGAAAAAAAAAAGCAGGTTGAAAAACAGGAAGTACAATATGCTTCTATGTATAATACATTCAATTTGGGAAGAATAGGATACATATGAAGCTGTTAGAAGACAGAAGTCTCTTATCAAATGAGGCAGTATGATCTTCCTACAATAAACGTGTAACTTTTATATTAAATATTGTTAATTGAAAATAAAGAAATAGAAAGGAAAATAAACTAAAATACTGTATGTTTAAAACTTCTGGCCAGGCACAGTGGCTCATGCCTGTAATCCCAGCACTTCAGGAGGCCGAGGCGGGCGGATCACGAGGTCAGGAGTTCGAGACCAACCTGGCCAATATGGTGAAACCCCGTCTCTACTAAAAATACAAAAATTAGCCGGGCGTGGTGGTGTGCGCCTGTAATTCCAGCTACTCAGGAGGCAGAGGCAGGAGAATTGCTTGAACCCGGGAGGCGGAGGTTGCAGTGAGCCAAGATCATGCCACTGCACTCGAGCCTGGGCGACAGAGCAAGACTCCGTCTGAAACAAACAAACAAAAAAACTTATCTCCTGGAAAACTCACTTATTAAAAGATAACTAGTCCTTTTGCCTTTGATGCTCAGGTAAACTTCAGACGAACTAAATGAAAATACTTGTGGATTTGGGGATGAGCGGGAGTCAAGTGCTAGAATTTGCTTAGCAGCTTCTCTTCCACCAATAATGACTTTAAACATGTTGCAAACTAGCCCCAAATGCTAACCTACATTTTTAATCTGAGAGGTATGCGTCATCAAATATTTTGGTTTTATCCCGAAAGTCAGCTAACAGAGATGTAAGTACCTGGGCAACTCTAATGGAATGAGAAGCAACATCTTCCATCTTAAGCATTGATAAGGGTTAAGGGAACAGCTGCTCTTTGCAATGAACAAATCTCACTCTCTGAGGCAGAAATTCGCCATATAGAAGACTGAATTTCTTCATCTTTTTGAGAATCATTTCCACTACCCAGAAAAAACATTCAAATGAGTTGTAAATAAAGTCAAGCGCAGTTGAAAAATCCTGTATCCACAGATGTTTCTTAGGAGTGCCTATGCGCTTAGACTCGAGGGCTAGGGGTTTGAAAGCAAAAGGCAGCCCTCTACCAGGGGTGGTCGGGGAAACGGCCTCCAAGAAACGAATTACACGGTGCACTTTAGTTACCTAGGCAGCTGTTTGTCTAGGAAACAGCTTATTGTTTTCATTTGTCATCACCGCGGCTCACTAGGTATCAGGAAGCTCGGCTCCAGCCGCTACCTGGTGACGCTAATGACGTGCGATGTCTCGCAGCTGCCGCAATTAGACAGGCCAAGCCTTCGCCTTTAAGAAGCTGACTCACGTGGATGCTGTGTTGTGTGCGCTCAGCTGAAAGGGGGAGGTGGGTCCCCAGACTGACTACATTGGCCGCCTCGAGAGAAGGGGCAGAGTTAGCCTCTTTGATTGGCTGTACGAGTCCGAGGTGCTGGGTCAGGGGCGGGGCGAGCTGTCGCAAGCCTGCCCTGGGTCTGCGGCTTCTGAGAGGGGTGGGCCGCGAAGCGGAGGGGTGCGGGAGTGGGGGAGGGTGAGCCAGAGAAGGGGCGGGGCCCCGCGAAAAAGGCAGGAGGCCGAGGACAGGGGCGGGGCCTAGAAATAAAGGGCGTTCTGGGCCAACCGGGAGAGCTGACTGCGGGGGGGCGGAGCCACGCCGGGTGACTGACGTTGAGGCCCAACCAGGGAGAGGCGGGGCCAAGGCCAGGGCCTGACTAAACCTGGAGACTCGGGTGGCCGAGGGGCTTCATACCAGCTGAAGAGCGACAAGCCGCTGGCAGCCGCGGATCTCACCGCCGCTCAGGGTGAGTCCCGCGGGAGGGGCTGGACTCGGGGCCGGTGGGGACTGAGGCGCCCGTTCGGGTCGGGCGGCTTCGAGGCACTCGGGAATCGGCCCAGGGTGGGGGGCCCAGGCAGGAAGTGCCTCTTCCTCGCCGCGCTCTTCCCGGGGTCCCAGAGCGGCCGCCCCAGATCCTTCAGGGTGGGCCCCGGCGCTGGGACCGCGGGCGGACGCGCGGGGCTGTTTGCTCTTTGTGAGGCCTGGCGCGGCGGCCGCCGTCGGCCCGCCCCCGCCGCGCAGCCGGGCGACCGGTGCGACAACAGCCGCAACCCCTCCGCGCGGCGCCCGCGCCTCCGCCCCGTTTCCCCGTCGCGTCCTCCGAGGCCCGCCGCCGAGGCCCACGGCGCCCCCTGGGCGGACGGTCTGGCCGCGACCCCCAACCCGCCGCGCCGCGCCGCGGCTGCCCCGCCCCCACCCGTCGCATAGTCGGGGGCGCGCCCGGTCTCCGCCCCGAATCCAAGTCGGAACTTGACCGAGTTGTTTGGGCCGCGATGACCGCACGGCGTGAACCGTCCTGAGCAGGGCCCACGCCCGGCCCAAGCGGCCCAGCCACCGGGCTGGGGCGGTGTCTCCCTTTGCCCCCTCCCCCCCATGAACGTCCGCCTCCCCCGCCCTCCTGCCCAGAGGACCCGGGACTGACAGCGCAGGGTGACGGTTGGGCAGCCCGCCGGGTGTCGGGACCAAGAGAGCCCCCCGGCCACCCGCTCAGCTGTTTCCTGCTCGTGTTTGTTGTGCCGAGGGAGGCCCCGCCGCCACCGCCGCCGCCGCGCTCTGCCGCCCCGGTCCCTCCCGATTGGCCGGCTGGCGTCACGTGGCCTCCATCAGCTGGGCCGGCGGGGGCGCTCGCGGGCCCCACTGCGGCTGCCGGGTGAGCCCACCCGGGGGTCGCCCGGGCCGGCCCAGCTCCGCCAGCTTCGGGCTGCGGCCTTCCCTCCGCTTGCAGTCGGGAGGGTGGGCGTGCCCTTGCAACCCCTTTCCTGTACCTTCTCTGCAGGTAGATGGGACAAATGAGTGTCCGGATCAGCGGGAGTGGGAAATTGAAATACTACAAAGATCTGTTTAATCCTGATACCAACTAATCTCCCTTTCAAGGGAGAGTCTGGGAAGCTGTACAGCTCATTTATTTTTAAACTTTTTCTGTTTACAGAGATCTGTTGGTAATCTGAGGATTTTTATTCTACGTCGTCTTGACAGATGGAAAACCTGAAGTAACTTCGGGCTAACCTTGTGTTTTTGGAAAATTAGTAGACTTGGTGGTGAAGAAACTGGGAGGAGTAGGATATTAGCTAACTTTGCATAGCCACATATAGAGCGTCGCAGCTGCATTCCACCAAAGAGGAACCAAAAGGCCTGTGGTGTTCCCAGGGTACATATTCATGCCAGAAGTGAAGTGCTTTGGTGAATTCGTTTCCTGAAAGTTTATCGCATACTTGTACTGGGTTAGGTAAGAAGTAAAGTACAAAGAATTTAGAATAGTTTCTCTAGAAGCTTATAACTTAATCAAAAGTCGTGGACAAAGTCGAGCAATAATTTTAGCAAGTTATGAGACGTTAGTAAAATATATGTAGCTTGGAAAATAATGTTACCTGGTTGGATCATTGCGAACTTTTCTCTAGACTAATTTCCCTTTTCTGTTTTCTATTTAAGTAATGAGAAAAATAAACAGGTTTAGAAAAAAGTGAAAGGAAATAAGGCCAAAAATTATGAAAAGAAGTAATTAAAGCAGCTACTACCCTCTGAAAAACAGTCCACGAGACATGAAGGTAGTCCTAGGTATATGTGTGCCTAAAATATCATTCTAGGTTTAATGGTGAATAACTATAGAGATCAGTGTCAGTTTTAAGATAATCCTGTGTAGTAATGTCAGTGTAATGCAGGAACTGAACCTTAGCTAGACCTGAAGTTGCTACTTGACACTTGAGTCGGGAAGCCAGACAGGTAAATTACACGTCAATCCATCTAGTTAGAGGCTTTTGGTATTGCATCACAACAAACGAGACCATGAAATTGTCTTGCTAGGGTTTAGCGGGGGATGACCAACTCAGATTGTGCACTAACACACAAGGTTTCCTGAGTGAAATGACTAGTCTTATTTTCTAATATTTAAATATAAGTGTTATTGAAATATAGTGAACTTGAAAGTCATCTAACAAAACAGGAAAAAATAAGGCATTATTGAGGGGGGAGAACAAAAATATATCCTTAAAACGTACTGCAAATGAAGACCTGATTCCACAACAGGACATCATTTGACACAGCAAAGTAAACTGGTCACGTACTGCAAGAGGAAAGCAGAGCTTGCTTGTGTCACTGAAAACTTAGCTTGTTATATATTTTGCACAAAAATTGGAAAGTTGATTGTATGGATCAAACTGTTTTCCCATGTAGATTTTTTAATAGCGTTTAGTCACAACTCAGTATAAAGAGTTGATGAAATTACAATAGCAGTAAGTGCTGATTATTATAGTAATCAACCCAGCACTCTTAAAAGTTATTTGGGTTTTTATCCTTTGTTTTGGCGAGGGAAGAGATTAAAAACGAGATAGGAAAGCTGGCTTCCACGGGATTCCATTTTAGCAGAGTCATTGCGAAACAAAACCACCTCTGCAAGGGGCAGGTTCCTTTAACCCTTTCTGCGCTAGATGCCTGCATACTCAGTTCCCTGCAGCAGTCTTTGTACCTTGCCTTTGTCCCATCTTCTGATGCAATGGAAAACCCACTGTGGTCTGTCCAACACTGGGGATCTGGTGAAGTGTGTATTCTATGGAAATGCCCTGAGGCGATGGTTTCATTTACTAAGGAAAAGTTTATCTGTGAACTGGGTGTTTTTCCGTCAGAAGGTTCTATGAGATGCGAATAGATACCTACCCTCCCTGGTATTTTTAGGGCTGGGAAGTGGTGCCTCCCTTGACTAATTCCACTTACCAGGGTTGAAACCAAACTGGATTATTAATTATAGGGACAACAAGTACCTATTTTAAGACCCAGAACTGTGACATGCTTCAGAAGGTTTCTAACTTTCCTCCAGCTTCTGATTTCTATCACCTGGTTGCTTAGCTTTAGCATAATTAGCAGGAAGTGAAGCCAGTTAATTGTTATTGTTTCATATCCTTTGTGAGCCATGCTTTTCTCATCTGTCATAGGGTGAGTTGGGATGGGGAATGTTGAAGAAGATAATCTAGTTTTACTGACCTTTATTGAGCATTCACTGTGTGCTAGGCACCGTTCTCAGAATACAGTATCTCCACTTAATTTCTCATAACTCAGAGGTGGCTGCTGCTCTCACCATTTTACAGATGAAACAGGAGAGGATAACTCACCCAGTGTTTCCAAAGCTATTAAGGGGGAAGAGCTGAGATTTGAACCTAGGAATCTCCAGAATTCAAGTATCTGAGCTCCACAGTTTAAGTCCTGGGGGTGGAGAGAGGAGAGAGCAGCTGGTAGATATTATCTATTTTTATAATCTTTATTAGAGTTGATCTTCAACATGCTGAACTGGTTACGGAAAGTTAAGGATTTTAGCTAGAAAATCAGTAAAGAAAAGGGGAATGGGATTAAACTGATCTTTTCAAATACTCCTATCTAGCTTTAATCCCAAATGCCAACCAAGTTTCCATTTTTTCTGGGAAAGACTGCTTTCTAAATGCAAAGCTCTTTCACTATCAGAATGTGTTTTTAAGCAGGGAAAACTTTTTTTTGGTAAAGGGCCAGGTAAAAAATATTTTAAACTTTGCAAGCCAGAAGGTTTCTGTAGCAGCTCCTCATACCTCTTCATTGTAAAGTGGAAGGAGTAAAGTGTAAACAAATGGGCGTGGCTGTGTTCCTAAAAACTTTGACACTCAAGTGTGAATGTCATATATCTTGTGTCAGAAAATATTCTCCCCTCCCCCCAACCATTTAAAAGTACAAAATTCATTCTCAGCTTGTGGGCAGTACAGAAACAGGTGGCGAGCTGAATTGACCCACAGCCTTCCCAGCTTTTAAGGAAAACAGTCAGCAATGAGCCAGACAAGTGAACAAGATACCGTATTTCGCTTGATAGTGTATGTGTAAAATAAACCAATAGTCTTTTTAGAAAATTGTTTTATTGATGTGGAAGCAAACTAGGAAATTATGTAGTCCATCATATCCATCATGCATTTTAAAATAATGCATTCCTGGAGACTCTTTGGCTCTGAAGAGAATCATCTTTTTTTTTCCCCTCTTACAGATTCTGTAATTAAAAAAAAAAATTCTGTAACAAGGCAGAGATCCTAAAATGTTATTAATATTTCACCAGAGTCTTCTGATAAAAGAGAAATTGGAAGTTGTAGATAGCTAAATATGCTATTGGTGAGAGAGGGAGGAAATTGAAAATAATACTAAAGTACGATCTATGAAATTATCTATAAATTTCACTTATATTTTCATCCCAGCCCCTCACTGTTTCAGGTAATTTCAAATAAACTAAGAATAGTCTTCCAGTTAAACAGTCAAGCTTGGTACTTTTCTTATTCAACCTTTTTAGGATTTTTATAACCTGGACCTACAAGAAAATAGTACCAAAGAGGCCTTATTTATAACATGATAAGGTAGGGAACATCTTAAATAAAACTTAAGCTTTATGATGAGTTTAGCTCTCATTTCACTATAAACTTGAACTTCAGCACTGACATGTACCAAAGCCTGTGTGTTGCTACTAAAGGACACAGTAAGCTGCCCCCAGAATCAACACCAAACATTAGCTGTCTGTGAAAGCAGCTCACTCTTAAGATGTTTTAGAAATACGGGGCTGAAGAGATCTGGGATTACTCTAAGTCCAAGCAAGGTGATTAGCATACTTGGGAAATATTTTGAATATAAAAGCAATCAGACAGAAAGCAGATCAGTGGTTGCCAGTGGCTGGGAGTTGGAGAAGGTATTGGCTCCAGGCTGGTGTGTGGGAATTTTTGAGGGGCTAATGGAAGCATTCTAAAGCCAATTGGTGGTGATAGTGGCACAATTTTATAAATTGACTAGAAGTCATTGAATTGTACACTTGTAGTGAGTAAACTTTGTCATGTAGAGTATTCCTTAATAAAGCGGTTTTTTTTTTCTTTTTAAAAAATAACCTGCAATTTTCTATTCTGTCAGAAAAAAGTTTCAAATTTTATAAAGGAGCAGTCTCTATGAGCTTTTAGAAATGGGCGGCACATGCCTTTGACCATATTTTTGTAGCTCTATGTAGCAGAAATGAAGTGGTACGTATGAATGTATGTTGGGTTTAACAGTCACACTCGCTGACCCTGAAAGTTTTATCCGGATGTGAGGAGAGTTTGAATCTAATACAGTGATGAAGGGGAGGGAGGAAAACTTCCAAAAGTGATTTAGGAAGTCTTGTTAATTTTGCAGTTTTTTAAATGACTTACTAGGGTTTCTAGTTTAGGAGAGTTTGTGATTGCAGTTGGCATCAACCAAGATAGGGAATACAGGAGGAACAGCATGGAAGCAGGAAGGGCTGATGGTAAACCCTGAGGGAGAGAGTAAATCTGATAGCCCTCTAATCACTAGAGAGATAATAGAATGCAGTGGCTTGGCCACTTCTGGAAAGTCACAGTCTCTTTAATTCATCTATAAAAGTGAGGTGATAAATACCTACTTTAAAAATTGTCAAAATTAAATGCGGTATGTAAATACCAAGTACAGTGTCCCATACAGTGTAGATGCTAAATAATTATTAGGTCTAAGGCAGAGTTCAATATGTTATTCAGGTCCAGAGAAGCCTGATTCAAGTGTTATATCTTAGTATCTTAGCTTTTTAATGACTGTCCTTTGTTTTTTTTTTTTTTTTTTTGGTTTTTTTGAGACGGAGTCTCATTCTGTGGCCCAGGCTGGAATGCAGTAGCACAATCTCAGCTCACTGCAAGCTCCGCCTCCTGGGTTCATGCCTTTCTCCTGCCTCAGCCTCCTGAGTAGCTGGGACTACAGGTGCCCGCCACCATGCCCGGCTAATTTTTTTGTATTTTTAGTAGAGACGGGGTTTCACAGTGTTAGCCAGGATGGTTTCGATCTCCTGACGTCGTGATCCGCCCACCTTGGCCTCCCCAAAGGGCCGGGATTACAGGTGTGAGCCACCGCGCCCGGCCTTTGTCCTCCTTAAATAAGTGGCTGTCTTAGTTCCTTCTGGCTGCTCTAACAGGGTACTATAGACTGTATGGCTTATAAACAACAAATTTATTTCTCCCAGTTCTAGAGGCCAGGAAGTCCAACATAAGATTCAATGTCTGTTGATGGTACCTTTTAGCTTCGTCCTCACATGGTGGAAAGGAGCAGGCAGCTCTCTGGGACCCTTTTATAAGGATAGTAATCCCATTTTTGAGGGCTCTGTGCTTGTGACCTAATCACCTGGTAATATCACATATGAATGGTGGGGGCTACACAAACATTGAGACCATAGCAGTGGCATTTTAATGGATGTCAGCCTCTTGAGAGTTTGAATAGTGTCAGTGTTAGGTTGAGTTTCTAACCCTGCAAAGGCCAGGGCTACCTCTTGGAGCCTAAGGACCCTACAGAGGTTTTTCTACTTCCTAAAGACCTTTGACAGCAAGTGATGTTTTGCTTGCTTCTGCTAGATCCTGTGGCATTCTAACTTATCTTTCTTAGCAAACAAAAACTACATTCTACAGTTCTATATGTATAATTCTCTATAAATGGCAACCACAACTAGGAATAGTGTAACATAAGGTTTTGCTCAGATATTTTTGGTCTTGGTAATGAATCATATAATTGAATCCAGTAAAAATACTTGGGTAAAGAGAAAAAATAGATGGAATCAGGGGAAAAAGGCATGTTAAATGTATTTACCCTCAGTAGGAAATGATCACAGTAGTTTTTAGCCAAGGATAAAATGATGTAGGCAGAAGGCATAGGGAAAGTTCACTTTGAAGTCCAGCGCATTTACCACAACCGTATGGTGTCACAGTGGTCAATGTAGATACAGGTAGTTACTCTCCCATTACGGTTGAAATAAATTACAACATGAATATTGTATTTAAAAGTCTTAAGGGAAATTGGCTTTAAAATAATGAATCCCAGACCCCTAGCTGGAGGTTACAAATGACTGCACAAATACTAGTCTTCAAAGACATACAGAATCTGAGGCCTATACCTCAACGGCTGAGACTCCAAAACCTTGCTGTTGATTCCCTTCTGTTAATGATCAAGATTCAGAAACATGACCAAACTTAACTGCTCACAGGTTTGTTGAGTGTTTTATTTATATCAGGAGTCATACATTCAAATATTGGTTCAAGGACCAAAGAGGTGAAGTAATTGTGTGAAGCAAAGTGGAGACTGAGCAAATAAAATGGCCTGGTGAGGGTTAGGGGGTGCAGGTCACTTGTAGTCAGTTGTTGCCATAGGAGAATATGTGCCCTCCCCATTGTTAAAAAGAAATCCAAACTACAGGCTCTTTAATGAGATCTTCCAAATTTTAAATGTCATCTCAACTTTTTAAAATGAAGATTAAAAACTGTGTGACCCAAATAAAACAGACATGTCCACATATGTTTTTTAGGGAAGGATTTTTGTATCTGTTCACTGCTGTATTCCTAGGCTACCAAATGAATTCAGCCTGTAGGCCTCGAATTTGCAACTTCTGACTTATATGTAAATAAATAATAAATGTATTTTTTCTTTTTTGAGACGGAGTCTTGCTCTGTCACCCAGGCTGGAATGCAGTGGCATGATCTTGGCTCACTGCGACCTCTGCCTCCTGTGTTCAAGCCATTCTCCTGCCTCAGCCTCCCGAGTAGCTGAGACTACAGGCGTGCGCCACCACGTCTGACTAATTTTTGTATTTTTAATAGAGACAGGGTTTCACCATGTTAACCAGGCTGGTCTTGAACTCCTGACCCCAGGTGATCCGCCCACCTCAGACTCACAAAGTGCTGGGATTACAGGTGTGAGCCACCGCACCTGGCCAAGTGTTGTATTCTTAATCATCTGGAAAAAAATAATGCGGTAATCTTAAAGGCTGAAATAAGGCAATAAGTGTTTCCTTTTGTTGTTTTATAGAAATGTAATTAGAAAGTTAAATATTATAGCTTAAGTCTGTGTTTTAGTGCAAGGTTCATTGTGATGCTTGTTAATATGCTGGTTTTCCTTTTACTAGCTGCACATTGTCATTATATTCACCATTTGTTTTTTATTCCCTATTAAACTTTCATAATGTTTAAGGGGAGTCATAATGATTTTTGTGATAACATTTCTAGTGACATTAAGACCGCCTAATGGCTGGGGAAGTTCATAGACCTAGAAGGAATGGAATTTCCTTTTAAATTTGTAATGGAATTCCCCCAATCTTAAGACAACAGTAGATTCTCATTATGAACATGCATTCTGGATTTTTTTTTCCACAGTGGCAGTTACATTAGCTCTGCATGCCATTGGAAAGATGTATAATAAATATTTAAAACACAGGCGCTGATAACTATACCTGAGAATAAATTATGTTTTAAATTAAAACTGTGGTATATTCTTGACTATATCTAGATCTTTAAGAATACTGTTTAGGATAATTAGTTATGATGGATTTAAGAACTTGCATATAGTAACTTCCCTAACTTTTGAATGTTATAAAGTGTTACCCTAGTTTCAGACATATGTTTCAAACTTACATCTTTTCAGTGTTTCAGCACTTTTATGATTTATTGAATCAGTAAGATTTCTTAAAGATAATCAAGTTATGTATGGGAAAGCTTATCTTTCCCTTATTCTGTTCTCATTGCTTTAGCCTTATGCCAGCCTGGACCATCTTGGAGGCAGTGTAGGATCATGGAAGAACTTTGAATTAGGTGAATTGCATTCTGTACTTTTCTGTAGTTAACAGCTTTGTAACCTTTGACCAGTTAATAACCTTTTTAGCCTTGACTTGGATGATCTGTGAAGTGATGGTAACAACCTCACAGAGCTGTGACAATTTTGAAATAAGTACCTAGTAACAGTGCTCCCTAGACATTGACTTAAAGTTAGTCATCACCTCTATAGTTGTAGATGCACCTGGTGATCACAGACCTACTCACTCTGTGTTCTCAAACCAGACTACTCTCTTCTTGTTTTCTAATTGCCCCTTTATCTACTTGTATCCCACTGAAACCTCACAATTCTTTTCTGAAATTATACATGCTCAGAACGTATACTTAACATTTATGCTAAACCTTTTTTCTCACCTCTCTGCCAGTGCTTTACATCATTCATTTTCTGAAATTCCACTTTCCATTTTCTTTTTCCACACCAGCCATAAGAGAAGTGACACTATTCTTTGGCCTTGGCTAATAGGTTTACTTCCTTGGCTCACTGCTTTAAAATCTTCTTAGCTTAGGCATGCCTGTTTATTTGTTCAGTGTGTGAACTTTGGATCTTTTTGTTCAGGATCAGCTATTTCACACATCGAGTACTACAAAGCAGAGATTACATAAATACGTATACAAATTGTTCTCTATGACACCCCCCAAGTAGGTGCTAACATGATTATTATAATGCATTTGTTATCCTTTTCTATTTGCTCCTAGGTTTTTAGAACTTCAGCCATAAAAATGGGCAGAATTTTCCTTGATCATATCGGTGGTACCCGTCTGTTTTCTTGTGCAAACTGTGATACGATCCTGACCAACCGCTCAGAACTCATCTCCACTCGTTTCACAGGCGCCACTGGCAGAGCATTTCTTTTTAACAAGGTTAGTGAGAAAAAGTTTGATTCCTAAGTGGGCTTATTGGCTGTATTTGACAGCAACACCAGAATACCCCCTCAGAGCTTAGAGATACCAGGAAGAGTCAGAATGAGAGCTTGAAATCTACAGAAATGATTGCCCACTAGCTCGTCTTTGATGGGACCTTAGGAAGGTGTTACTAGGATGTGATTTTAACCTTGGAAGTTTGAAGAAGTAGGCTGGGCACAGTGGCTCATGCCTGTAATCCCAGCACTTTGGGAGGCCGAGGTGGGCAGATCACGAGGTCAGGAGTTCAAGACCAGCCTGGCCAACATGGTGAAACACCATTTTTACTAAAAATACAAAAATTAGCTGGGCGTGGTGGTGTGTGCCTCTAGTCCCAGCTACTCGGGAGGCTGAGGCAGGAGAAACACTTGAACCTGGGAGGCGGAGGTTGTGGTGAGCCGAGATAGCGCCACTGCACTCCAGCCTAGGCAACAGAGTGAGACTCAGTCTCAAAAAAAAAAAAAAGTATAAAGAAGTGTGATCTCTGTTGCCTCAGGAAATGTTCAGTGTAAGAATTTGGTAGCAACTTCAGCACAGACTATGGAAGGAACAGGTCAAGATACCCACCTCCCTTTCTCCACATGTCACTGGTTTATCCATATAGGGAGATGGTGGCGTTAAACTATTATAACTTGACAGCGAATAACGATCATCTAACCAACTTTTCATGCTCTAATTCATGCTCACCAATCATCCTTCCATGGATTTGCTGACAGGAAGAGTGTTTTTCTGATTTGCAAGTGTGTGCCCAGTCTGCCTGTCTCTCTAATTTCTGGCTTGCTTTCAAATTGGATGCCGTGATTCTGCCTCCCGGAATCTGGTATATAATAGAAAAGTTGAATTTCCAAGTATTTTAGGCTAAGGAACATAGCTAGTCTAGGGTACTGTTCTTAGAAGATCAGATGAACTTCCCCAGTGGGCACTCCTCTGTTCCATGTAGAAGCAGCTTTTCTCAGAATTGATGGCTCATACTCTTTGACATTTATTTTGGTACAGAGGAGGGCACACTGCAGCAGGACAGCTGCCTGTTTTGGTAAATGTAATGGAACACAGCTCTGCTTGTGCATTACGTATTGTCTACAGCTTCTTTCATGCTACAGTGCCAGAGTTAAAAAGTTGCAGCAAAGACCACATAGCCGTCAAAGCCAGAAATATGTACTATCTGGCCCTTTACAGAAAAGGAAAGTGTAGAAGATTGTTGGGTATTCAGAATCAGTGGAAATTCATTACACATTGTCTCAGACCCACTTCATTGTGTTCATTGTCTTTGAATTCACTTTAAAACTATGTACTGCAGATGTATGGTCTTTAGTAGGCTTAATCTGTCCCAGTCTATATATACAGTATATTTTCAGAAACAAACTGACAGACTGTTTTATGGAATAACTATGGTGCATTAGGTTCTTTTACATGGATTGTATTATTTGCACTCATCATTGAATAATGATGAATTACTACAACTGGACCCAAACCTACATTTTATGGCTCCAATTCCAGGACTTTTTCTTACCTGCAACACAGAAATGTAACTAGTATGTTTAAATAGTGTGACTTAGGCTAGTACGGTAGTGCATGATTGCATTAGATGTCTAGTGTAGTGCAATTTCCAGATGTCTGCCTGCCCCAGCAGCTTCTAATAAATAAGTCTTGCGTATTATAGGTTTGACTAAACTAACAAGTTCTTTCTCCTTTTCTGAAGTTGCTGTTGCATTAACCATAATATTTTGTACATACTTGGCAAATAACTAACATGCCTTGCAATTTTGATTTTCCTTGTCCCTTGTTAGGTAGTTAACCTGCAGTACAGTGAAGTTCAAGATCGGGTCATGCTCACTGGCCGCCACATGGTTCGAGATGTGAGCTGCAAAAACTGCAATAGCAAACTGGGATGGATCTATGAGTTTGCCACTGAAGACAGCCAGCGATATAAGGAAGGCCGCGTGATCCTGGAACGTGCTCTAGTTCGAGAGAGTGAGGGCTTTGAGGAGCATGTACCATCTGATAACTCTTGAAGATACAGAGAGAAATCCATCTTTTCCCAGGTCTCCTTCACTGAAAACAAAAATCTACTTACATACACTGTCACCTTAGCATCAGAGTCGGATTAATGAACTGCGGAACAAGAGGTTGTGAGAATCTAAGATGGAACCTTTCTTTCTTTCTTTCTTTTTTTTTAAATTTTGTATTTTCCATCCAACAGCAGTGTGTAGAGAGAATATTATGCAGATGCCGTTAATTTTTTACCCTATGTTTACATCTTGAGGCAGCAGAGTCTGTCTGCAGCTATGTGGTGAGCTATGTAAGGAAAAAAATCTGGGCTGTTAGAGTGAAAAAGTGTGTTTTATGTCAATTGTGAAAGGAAAATGTTAGGAGTATGGTTTTTAAACTTGGGCTTCATTTTAAACTTTTTTTTTTAAACCCAGTTATTTCACTTGATTTGCTAGCTTCAGAGAAGAGATCCGAATCTGTGCCCAGCGCTAAAGGCTCAGTGTTAGCATGGCTTGTGCTGGCCGGTGTGCCATATTCTTGTTGGAGATGAACCGTAGCACCAGAGCCCATTCTTCCTTGTCAGTCTTGGCCCAAAGATGTCACCATTCCTAGTTATTTGTCACCACATAATTGGTGTTGATTGGAAACTTTTTCTGAGATGGGACAGAACTGCTGGGTTGTCTTTTTCCATGTAACTTAAGCATAGTAATATAAATAAAGTAATAGTTGGATGCTTTTGGTCCTGTGTTGCTTTTAAAAACACCTTATAAAAGAGGAGAGTATTTGATAAGCAATTTTCATAGTAGTAAAGTTTTTTTTCATCTCTTAAACTAAATTGACCATGCATATAATATTCTTTGTTTAAATGAAAGCATACTGTTGAAACCCGCAGTGTTGCATTTAGAAAACAGTTGAACAGAATGTCAATGTGCATTCATGCAAAAAAACATTTAATCTGCATCTGTTTTAGAAAAGGGGGAAATGAAGCAACTTGTCTAAAAATACTGCTTTACAAAGCATTTCAGCCTTTCCCCCTCAGTTTTGCATTGATTTTTTGACAAGTCTGTAGAGCCTAATAGTTTCCATCAAAGGCCTAGATCTCTTATTTAGCATTTTTTTCAGCTCTTCTCTCAGAAGTTCAGCTGTTGAAACGAAAACTGTACTTTGTACCCTCACATACAAAGGGATCAAATTTGACCTGGTGTTATTTTAGCCCCAAATTTATGACATTACACAATATTAAAATGTAAATGTTTCTTTACCCAAACTACTTCTAGATATTCTAGTATTTGCTTCTGGTGGAATTAAATGACGGTAAAATTGGCTAATTATTTGAATGAATGAATGGATGGATGTTTTGCATGCTCAATTTCTAGGTCCTTTGTCTAGAAAGGAAATTTGCCTCAGTTGAATTAGTGAAATATTTCTGTCGTTGATATTAAAAGTGACTTCTGAGTACAGTTAAGTTCCTCCTATTTGCCACTGGGCTGTTGGTTAGAAGCATAGGTAACTGATTAAGTAGGTATGATACTGCATTTGAAATAAGTGGACACAAACTATCCTTTCTCCACCATGGACTCAATCTGAGAACAACAGCATTCATTTCCATTCATTTCCATACTGGCTTTTGATTATATGCAGATTCCTAGTAGCATGCCTTACCTACAGCACTATGTGCATTTGCTGTCACAATAAAGTATATTTTGTCTTGCATTGATGCAGTACTGCTGCTTATTTTCCACTGATCTTGTCTAGTGATCATCTTAATTTTTATCTCTGAACACATACTTGGTATCTTTGAGTACCTGTAGCTTTCTTCATTTGGCAATGATAGTGATGTCTGACTTGATTAACTGCCTAATTCACACATGAAGACATTGACTTTGCCAGTATTAACTTCTCTGAGATCATTTTGCCTTAGATACTGATAACTATAGTTCAGTATATATAAACAAAAAAATTTCATATTACTAGGTTAACTTTTAGGTAACTGGCAGGTACCAGCAGCAAGCTCCTCTGTGCCTTTTAAAAACTTCCATTTGCAAAAAAAAAAAAAATATATATTGGAAGGTCTACTTTGGATTATTTACAGAAAACCATTGTTATTTTGAGATGGGGATACTAATTAATAGGAATGATTTTTGCTTTGGGGTGGGAGAGTTAAACAAGTAGAGGTGAACTTAGAACTAAGTAGGTTACTGAGGAATATACAGATTTAAGCTTTTTTTCCCCTGACCGAAGAGGAAAATTCTTCCTCTTAGTCTTAGGTGACAGTAACCGTAAGTTGTTTTGATCTTAAAGTGCTTTTATTTAGACTCTCAAGTGAACATTCCTGGTAAAAATAATTTTAGTAATTATGTGAAGATTTAAGTTACAGTTAGGAGTTGTTACTTTGGGATTGGAGGAGAAAAATATCAGTACCATCTGTTTCCTAAATTTGCCTACTCATAAAGTCATATAGGATGTTTAAATCAGAGTCTGGGCCCAAGCCCAGGCTTAAGTCAGTCAACAGGTAATTTTTGGTGGGGCAGAATTAAGAAACTACCAGTTGTAAAATATTCAGACATGTTTATGATGATTCATTTCTAAACATCAGTTATAAAAAAATCTCAGTTTAAACAGATATCCACTAATTGTTCATCTGTTTAACACCTGTTTCCTACCAGGAGCCATATAAATTTACTTCTAATCTGTGTGAGTTGGGAATAAAGCAAGATTAAACTGAAGGATTCTTATCAGGCTAGCACGTTGCACTGATAAGATCTATTATAGGAAGAAAGCAGAACTAAGCAGAAATTAGGGTGGATATTCTAAGTTGGGTGTTAATTGTATGGCTTATTTTAAAATATTGGGCTTCTCAAATTGAAATTTCTGTGGTAAAGCATAAAATACACATTCCAAAGCATCGTTCAGGGTTGTATAATCCTAGGCATCACTTTACATATTTAGGTTTTAAAAATCATCTGCAGCATAACCACCTGGGAGGCTTGTTAAACATGTCAATTATGTTCTCATTCCCTTCCCCAGTACTGAATGGGTCTCGGGTGGAGCCAAAAATCCAGTTTTTTTTTTTTTGTTTTTTTGTTTTTTTGTTTTGCCAAACTCCAAAAGTAACATGTTTCTTTGATACTGTGAAATACGTATTTGGTCTCCTGGTCTTCGTCTCCATTTCCTAGCAATACAATCCCTAAAATCCTTGGAATTTTCAAATGATTATCTTTTTGTATGCTAATATTGACTGATAGCCAGGGTAGAGCTGGTCACGGGAAAGATACAGGCATGATTAAAGGTGAGGTGCTTTCAGCCTCACAGAGCAACCTCCCGGGAGGGGAAAGGGGCTGCAGGTCAAGTTGATTACCGATTGCTATCAGACAGGTGGGATTTGCTAGAAGGGCCCTGGCTTAGAAAGGTGGACAAGAAAAATGATGGAAATGTGATGGGTCAGAAACCTTTGATTCCTGGGTGGCCACATGGCCACCCATGGTATAGAGCTGCAGCTGCACTCAGTTACTACCAGTAAAATTTAGAGATAGATCCAACTCGTAGAGAGGTGATTGACTGGATGCATAAGGAAATGCAAGCTAATAAGAAAAGTGAACTCTACAATCCCTTGGTTATTATCTATAATAGCTAAAATGAAACAGAGTGCTGGGTCCAACTTTGATGCTGCACCAAGCTTAGGTTTCAGGCTGAGCTTCAGCCACTAGCCTCAGAGCTACCCACAAGGGCAAAGTTAAGCAGCAACAACAAAATACCTCTCAGATCTGTGGTTACCAAGAAGGTAGTCAATGTCGGGGAAAGGCAAAACCAAGTAACTTGAAACCAGAAGGTATAATGTACAAGGATTTGTTACATTTCATAGATCCATATCATTAGTTTCCTGAGGAACCTTTACTAAAATGGACTATGAGAGTAATTTAGGGGCAGTATCTTTTGTTTTAAATGCTGCAGAATGGAAGAAATGTTTGGGTTGATGGAGGACCCACAGCTCACTATTGAAAGATTGCAGATGGCTAAACATGATCCAGACACATAGGAGGTTATTCTTGAGGAACAGCTAGTCTGGGGGACTGGATTTAAAAAGCCACTGTAAGATCTGTTTACCCTGAGAATGGGGACTGTCCAACTTCCCCTATAAATGCCAAGCAGAACACCCAAGATAAAGCAGCTAATATACTTCATGTGCAAGCCATGTGGGACTGGCTTTATGATGACCCCGATAGTCACCCACCATGTATGCCCATTACCCGTGTCATGGCCAGTGCTATAGTTAAGAGAGCCCCATTTTCATGGGCACCTCATACAACCTTGCTGCTACAAAACATCTGCTAATACATGAGAATCATTATTCAAAGGGTTATTGAAAATACAGTTGTGGTATGTTACCACCTGATAAAAGCCTATGTCACAAGAGGCTGATAGGCTAAGAAGTATGGGTAAGAAAAAAAAAAACAGATTAATATGGCTTTCCATCTGCTTTAAAAAGTGTCTTAAAATGGATTAATACACCAATTAGATAAACTGGCTTTAAGGAGCAGAAGAGTCCCTGGGAAAGAGGCATCTAGTTTCTGGGAAGACTGCTACATGTAAAATATAAAGACATATCTTCGGCCGGGCACAGTGGCTCACGCCTATGATCCCAGCACTTTGGGAGGCCGAGGCGGGCAGATGACAAGGTGAGGAGTTCAAGACCAGCCTGGCCAACATGGTGAAACTCTATCTCTACTAAAAATACAAAAAATTAGCTGTGCGTGGTGGCGAGCACCTGTAATCCCAGCTACTCGGGAGGCTGAGATAGGAGAATCACTTGAACCCAGGAGGCAGAGGTTGCAGTGAGCCGAAATTATACCACTGCACTCCAGCCTGGGCGACAGTGCAAGACTCCATCTCAAAAAACAAACAAACAAACAAAAAAAACATCAATGCTGACTAACTTTAGCTGTGTGACTTTGGGAAGTCAGTTAACCTCTGAATCTTAGTTCTCTCAAGTGTGAATTGTAAAAACAAGCCTTGTCTTAAATCTTGTCAGAACATAGTGAAATATAGAACATAAAAACCTGTTGATAAGCAGTATGCATATATCTGGAGTAATTACTTTTTTCAGTAATCCTGAACAACTCTTCACAATTTAACCTAATTTGTTCTAAATTATAGAATGACCAGAATGCTTTCAAAGTTCTTTAAATCCTTTCTGGATTTAACATGTACTGATAAACCTTTCAGCAAATGAGGATTTGAAATCTGCAGTTTACTAAATGTTACTATCTTGACTTTTCATTATAAGGAATTTTTCATAATCTTCTATAATATAATTTTACATGGCTTTCAAAAATCTTCAAAGCTGCTATTTTTCTCCTACCATGGAGCAGAAGAGAAAAAAGGTAAAAAGCTCATTGAATATAATATCAATGGTAATTAAAAAGCCACCATTTCCCCCCGCAGACAAGCTAACTTTGAGAACCTGCCAGAGCTTTCACTAACAGCAACTGACTCATTTTCTCCTGTGTTGGTCTCAGCTTATTGCATACTACTGCTAGAATGAAGTTCGTCCAGTTTTTAAAGAATCCTAAGGTGGTGAGATAAATGGTTTATATACTTCTTCTGATGTGCCCTACAGATGAACAAGTTATCTCTTCCTCCTGGATTTAAAGCAAAATACAAAGACAAAGTCCATATAGTAATTTTAAAAACCTGTATCCAAAGCTAATTTGAAAGCCCAGCTTTGCAGGTGATATTTGTGTCCTTGAGGATAGACCAGAGGTTTTCAGGGACTGGTGCAGTTTGAGAAATCCCCTGGTATGCCCCCGACCCAGGAGAGGAGGTTGGCTTCCGCCACTCCTTGGAATTCACTTAGAATTTCCCTCTTT
Organism: Homo sapiens; assembly: GCF_000001405.40. Taxonomy (NCBI): domain Eukaryota; kingdom Metazoa; phylum Chordata; class Mammalia; order Primates; family Hominidae; genus Homo; species Homo sapiens. The sequence goes on from NC_000002.12 coordinate 30,164,688, forward strand.
TCCAGCAGTTAAACTGCCATGGAAGGAGCTGGCCACCACCTTCTCAACTATCCCACTCTACCTGGAGCCCTCCCAGGAAATACTGGGCAAAGTGGAGACATTACTGTGAACTCCAGAAAATTCCACGAGTGTAATCTCTTCCCACGTAACCCATCTCCCTTCCCCCAGGATCCCAGCCCAATGCAAGGTGTTCAGAGGCGTTTCTGAAGCTTGTCAATATGCCAAAAGGAATAAAATATTTCAGTCCCTTTCAAGTGAGTCAGGTTCTGTGTTAGAGAAGGCTCCTTAGGGCAGCAACAGGAAGCGAGTTTCAAAGTTTGAGGGGACGGTATTTTTAAGAAATGGGCTAATGAGTAAAACATTCAAATGATCCTGCTAAAGTTTACACTGAAAAAATGTTTTTAATTAAAAAAAAAAAAAAATCAGCTGGAAGCTTTGCTACCAGAAAAGTACCAGTAGGTGGCATGAGTGTGCAAGAAATTCCACTCAACCACCAGTCAAACCTATCTTTTGGAAAAGAGAAACGTTGGGGCAGTCAGTTCTTGTTGCTGTTCGTCCTCTAGGGTGCAGTACCAGGAGCTGATGCAAGGGACCGTCTTACTGCAATGGCACGACATCATTGGGCAGAATCGAATTATGGAGAAAATGCTTTGCAGACTATCAAGTGCGATGCAATAGTACTGTTTCCTCTTTGTGATACATGATTTTTTTTCTGCAATGTTTGTTTTAGTATCTAAAGCTTTAGCTTATACAACTTCAAAAATGTTTTTTGTCGAAAACTATGTTTTAATATTGGCTTTTAATTTGGTAATGGTAACCTGAGGCCTCAGAAAATTAAATGTCACAGTGTGACTTTGAAGTTAACCTCTGGAAGCTCCATTTCCTCGACTTTAAAATATGAAAAATAATTTCTAGAGAACATGTGTGAGGACTTTATAAGCTGTATGGAATTCTAAAAATGATATATATTACAATAACTTGAATGAGGTTCAGTGTTACTTAACCGGTAGTGTAGGCTCCAGTTGCTGCAAAGAATTTTCCCGTTCATTTCTCCATTCAGCAGTGCTTGAGTGCCTGTTATGTGTGTCAGGCAGTATAGTAATAGAACAACACCTGGCACCTGTTTCCCAGCGGCCAGATGAAGGATATTTGCAAAGCCAGTAAAATTACTGAATGCATTCCTGCTGCAGGAAATGAAAGGTATTCAGCGTAGGGGTGCATGAACTCATGAAGCAGAATAAAAGGTCTTTCCTCTTCCAGCAATTGCTTAATGTCTGCATTAGAAACAAGGAAGCCTTTCAGATTAAGTGAAAATAAATCTATTTCCATGTGTAAGAGATTCTGAAATTGGCTTAACTATACACCCTAAAACAAGCTTTATCTGTCTCCCTTGCAGAAACAAATATAAATCAGCAATTTTGGGGCATACGCCAATAGGAACACTGACACCTCTGGCAGCCAGGCCAAGCAGAGGGCTTCTGTAACAGTGAGAGGCAAGGAGTCAAGGCTCAGAGCTGCCTTTGCACAAGAAACATCCCAGGTAAAGCATGACGATGGATTGCAGGGAGGAAGGGAGGTGAAATTCAAAGAATAGTAAATCCGTAGGACCTCAGGTTTAGCCATTGGTTGTGATCAGTGTCAGTGATCTCCAACTTAAATGCCTCCAGGTGCCAGGTCACTCAAGAAGTGGGCCTATGGTAGACAGCTGAAATCAGGGCTAACGGGGTGAGCAGGGAAGAGCATGTACCCCTTAAAGATGGTCACTTTCAATTTAAGAGAAAATTCTAGCCAAATACAGTTTATTCTTTGGGCCTTAGGGGCTTCAGTTTATATTCTTTAATTTAGTCTAACCTCCCATTTTAAACATTTGGAACCTAAGGCCAGGAGAAGTGAAGTGACTAAGCCAAGTTCTCATTGTGAGGAGCAGAGACATGACTACCCAGGGTGAGACATTTCACCTTAACAAAGCACAGCAGAGTATGCTAAACGTCTTACAAATGTAGTAATATTTTCAAAACCTGGTGAGGCAAACTGGCAAAGAGTGGGGACCCTGTAACCGGAGTGCCTGTGCGTGAATCCCAGCTTTCACACATGATCACTACGCCCTGAGGCAAGTTTCTTCACCTTTCTGTACCTCTGTTCCCTCATCTCTAAAACAGGGTTAATAATAGTACTACCTTCATAGGGTTGTTGTGAGGCTAAAATGAGATAATAGATGTAAAGTGCTTAGACCAATGACTGGCCCATAACTATCATCACTCCCATTTATAGATGAAAATGGATGCTCAGAGGTTAAGGTCACACAGTTTTACTTAGAGGTCAAGCGTGTGTGTGCGCACAGACAGCTGATGTGGAACTCCCTTTTAGATGCCTGATTTCCAAGCCTGACCATCTAAGCCCCACATCTGCCATAACCAGACTTGGGAAGGAAAACAAAAGGAGGGACTGGTACAGATCCCAGAGCGAGGTGCCAGTTGTTTCTTTCCACTTTTCAAGAGTAGCTAGGCTTCTAGAAAAGCAAGCAAGGATGAAGTAGTTGACATATATCAGTGTTTCTCCAATTTGAGCATGCATAAGCCTCACCCACAAGGTGTGTTAGAACAGCCTGCTGGCTGCACTCCCAGAGATTCTGATTCCTCAGGGCTGGGTGGGGCCTGAGAACCTGCATTTCTAACTAGTAGATGATGCTGGTGCTGCCAGTCCAGAGAGCACACTTTCAGAACCACCGACATACCTCTTTTTCTAATCCTCAAAATAAGCTTATGAGCTTGGCATCATCTCCATTTTCTTATAGAGAAAACCGAGTTCAGAGCATATGGCTGACTCATCCAACAGCACACTATTTTAAAGGAATGGAATTGATCTTAAGTCTAGTTGGTCTGCCTTTGAAGCTCTTTGTCCTGTGCTTTTCCTACCTCACCATGCGAGATGAGGCATGAGCATTTATGCTCTCCCAGGCACAGAGCTGTGGGCCAGAAGAACAAAGATGCACAGGATCTCTGTCGTGAGGAGGAGCATGTGGGTGGAGAAAATGTGAGGACGGCTTCTCTGGAGAAGGGAAGGCCTAACCACCAGTTGCTACCATCTTCCTTCCTAGTCCACCAACTGCCTTACCTCCCCTACCTCACAGCTGCATAGTTGGACCAGTCACAGCCATGACACCTGCCTTCACTGGCTTTTCCCTCCCTGCCCTGTGAGGCCCCATCTGCCTCCATAGGTTCGTTGCCCTCAAAGCTTCAGTCACGCCAAGTCCTCGTTCATCCCGAAAGTGGCACGCTCTCTCCAGCTTGCTCTGCTGCATTCGGTCTTTCTTCTGACTCGGATGTCTACTTCCTGCTTTCCCTGGAATTCTCCTACTTGTCCTCGAAGACTCAACTCCTCCGGCCACCCATCTCTCATGCCCATCAGTGTCCCTTCCTGAGAAACTCTGGCTTACCCCTTTCATAGCACTTGTGTACATGGTTGTACAATTATTTACTGGTCTACTTCTCCTTCTATGCTAAATTTCTAGTCTCAACCAACTTTTATCTCTAAGTCTTCAAGAGCTTCAATACTTGTCTACACATTAGATTCACCTAGGTATCTTTAAAAAATTCCAAAGCCAGGCCACTTCAGGCTAATTAAGTCACAATCTTTGAAGGTGGAACACGCCATCAGCATTTTTCAAACCTCACCAGGTGATTCCAGTGTGCAGACAAGCTTGGTAAGCACTGAAACAGAGTTTTAAAATAAGTGCAGGATGAGTTTTGTGGGTGGTTGGATGAGTGGATAATTAGATGGCTGATGGATGGATGGATGGATGGATGGATGGATGGATACATGGATGATGAAGCTGAAGGGTGAAACAGAGTGCCAAGCAAGCAGAAGGAGAAGTGGTTTCAGTAAGAGCTAACAGCATAAGAAAAAGCCCAGAGTAACAAGGTACACAGGAACTGATAGAAGACAAAACTAACAAGGTAGTGAGGGGGCACACTGCAAAGGGCCTGACCTGCCATGCTCAGGAATTTGAATTTGCTGCTGTCGGTGATGGAAGCCATAGAAGGATTATACGTAGAAGAGTGAAATGGTCAAATATATTTTTTAGAAAGCCAGTTGGCAATTGTGAGACCTTACTGGAACAGGGAAAGGCAGGAGGCAGGAAAAAAATGATTTTTCTGCTCAACCCTCCTGCTAGAGACTGGCCTCTAGGAGGCTGGTCAGCTTTCAGGAGCAGCAGCCCACTGAAAGCTGATCATGAGACCACTGGAAGCCATGGGGTGGCTGTGGTGTTCCTGATCTTTAGCTGCTGGCAGAACTAGGACTCAAATCCAGGTCTTCCTGCCTCCAAGTCTCATAACTCTTTATACTTACTTCAAATTAGCAGCTCCTCCAGATGGTTTCTCTCACTCAATACCCTCATGGGAAAAGTGAGAATTGACTAATTTATACACAAGGGCAAACAGACATTGATTCATCAGTGGCCAGTGATAATCAACGTTAACCCTGCCAATGAAGCCATTTGCTTTGGGAACCAAACTGCAAAGAGAAGCACAGTGGTGAAGCCATTAATCATGCTTTCCTATTTTGTCTCCTTTTTAATTTTTTTGTAGAGATACGGGTCTCTCTATGTTGCCCAGGCTGGTCTTGAAATCCTGGACTCAAGTGATCCTCCTGCCTTGGCCTCTCAAAGCACTGAGATTACAGGCGTGAGCCACCTAACCCAGCCGATTTTGTCTTCTATTTAATCAATTAATCAGCTCTCTGATACTCTAGCAATTATCCTCTGAATTGGGTTTCCCTGTGTTATCCAGGAGGCAACTCACCTTGCTGCCACCGCATTTTCTCTGAAGCTACATTTTTCTTCTGGCCAGATACATGCTGGAGTGTCTTTTCTTCTCCCTAATTCCCCAGACTAGTGACCCAGAAAGGCAAGGGCATGGGGAAGAATATGCGAGCTGGAGTCAGAGGAGGCTTCAAGCTCTCCACTGGGTTTCCTGCTCCCCCAACCTGGTGGGCTCCCTTGCCACATATGGAGAAGGTCCCAAGCCTACACCTGGGAGGGCCAATCAGACCCCATGTGCTCGCTCTGTTTTTTTATTTTTCTTTCTTTCTTTTTGTTTTCTTTTTTAAACTTTTGCAGAGATAGGGTCTCCCTATGTTGACTAGGCTGGTCTCGAACTCCTGGGCTCAAGTGATCCTCCAGCCTTGGCCTCCTCCCAAAGTGCTGGGATTACAGGCATGAGCCACCACACCCGGCCTTCTGTTGTTGTTTTTTTGTCCTTTCTTTTCCCTTCTTTCCTCATCTGGTAATTTATTTTTCTTTCTCCCTTCTCTTTTATTTCTGTTTATTTTCTCTCGTCTTTCTTCTGCAAGCATCCTCCTTTGCTTACGGCTACTTCTTTCCCATTCATCTCCTGTCACCTTCCCCAGGGCTGTCACACTCAGATTTTGCCCCGACCAGGAGTGCCTGGCCAAGGAGGAGAGTGTGGATTGAGCTCGCCAAGCCAAGCACCTAGCCACCCTGAAGGGGATGCCTTTTCTAACAAGCAGGAGGTGCTACAAGGACTGGCTACCTGGCTCTTTTGCACTCTCTCCTTTCTGTGTCTGTCTCCTCTGTTCTGGAGCAATGTGATGGAGAGGACAGAGCATGAGCTCTGGAGTCAGGCCTCTGTTTAAATCCTGGCTCTGCCATTTACTGATTCTGTGACCTCGACCACGTTTTTGACCTCCCTGAACTTCAATTTCCTCATCTGTGCACACCTCCTGGATTGTTAATCCTAAATGCCTAGGGAGGCATTCAAGCACGGTGAACACAGTGCACAGTCTTATGAGTGTGAATGCTGACCCAACCTCTTACTAGCTGTGTGACCGCAGTACCCAACCTCTCTAAGCCTCAGTTTTCTTTCGTTTTTCTTTTTTTTTTTTTCTGAGATGGAGTCTTGCTCTGTCGCCAGGCCGGAGTTCAGTGGCGCGATCTCGGCTCACTGCAACCTCTGCCTCCTGGGTTCAAGCGACTCTCCTGCCTCAGCCTCCCAAGTAGCTGGGATTACAGGCACGTGCAACCACGCCCGGATAATTTTTTTTTTTTTAATTTTAGTAGAGACGGGGTTTCACCATGTTGGCCAGGATGGTCTCGATCTTCTGACCTCATGATCCGTCCACCTCGGCCTACCAAAGTGCTGGGATTACAGGCATGAGCCACCAGGCCTGGCCTCTAAGCCCCAGTTTTCTAACCTCTTCAATGAGATGATAACCAGACCAAATTTGTAGGGTTTTTATGAAGATAAAGGAGGTAACTCAGGGAAAGTACTTAACATCTGGACACATAGTAAACATGAAATAACTTCCAATTGTACATTATGATTGTTGTTGCTATATATTACTTGTACACCACCTAGCTCATGGTAGGTACTTGTGGTATCCAGCCTCCAAGATGCCCCCAGTCAGGCCTTGAGATGACTGCAGCCCTGGCTGATGTACGATGGCAGCCTCATGGGAGACCCAGAGCCAGAACTGGCCAGCCAAATTGTCTGAGTCCATTGGGGGATCTTATAACAAAACACATAAATTGGGTGGCTTATAACTAAAAAGCATTTATTTCTCACAGTCCTGAAGGCTGGGAAGTCCAGGGCCCCAGCAGATTCAGTGTCTGGTGAGGGCCTGCCTCCTTACAGATGGTGCCTTCTTGCTGTGTCCTCATACGGTGGATGGGAAAAATTCTGGTCTCTTCCACCCCTTATAAAGGCACTAATCCCATTCACAAGGGCTCCACTCTCATGACCTAACCACCTCTCAAAGGCCTCACCTCGTAATACCATTACACTGGGGATTCTGTTTCAACATGGGAATTTAGGGAGGATGTAAACATTCAGACCATAGTAACCACCAAATTCCTGACCCATAGAAACTGTGCATGATCAATTTTTATTGTTTTAAGCCACTCATTTGTTATGAAGCAAAAATTAACAAATACAATGCTTTAAAAAAAAAAGTCGGCCAGGTGCGGTGGCTCACACCTGTAATCCCAGCACTCTGGGAGGCCGAGGCAGGCGGATCACGAGGTCAGGAGATTGAGACCATCATGGCCAACATGGTGAAACCCCGTCTCTACTAAAAATACAAAAAATTAGCCAGGCGTGGTGGTGGGTGCCTGTAGTCCCAGCTACTCGGGAGGGTGAGGCAGGAGAATGGCATGAACCTGGGAGGCGGAGCTTGCAGTGAGCCAAGCGCCACTGCACTCCAGCTGGGCGACAGAGTGAGTGAGACTCCATCTCAAAAAAAAAAAAAAAAAAAAAAAATAGCCCCCTCTCCCTTCCAAGTGAGAGAAAACAGATTGGCATTTCCTTCTGCAAATCCATGCAGTCCAGCACGTGGTCAGCAGGGAGAGTCATTGGACCACGTTCTGGTCTAAATGTGTTGGCATTTTCCTCACTAAAGCAGTGAGCACACCCAGCTTAGGCCAGAGGAGATGCCAGACCAGTAAAGAAGAGGCCAGCCACCCCAGGCCCCTGCTCCATCAGTGAGCTGCTGGTGGCCCCAGGGGAATGCTCAGTCCCAAGAACCAGCTCAGAGCAGGCTCCTGCCCTGTACGAGGAAACCCAGAGAATGATTCTGAGACTTGCTTCATGGGCTTGAATACAACTCCCCAGTGGCCAAAGAACTCCTGTTCTTGGACTTGAGCAAAGACCCCAAGAAGGGTGCCATGGCCAGTGGCATCACTTGGGGAAGGGCACCTGTAACTCTTCCGAGTAACTCCTCTGCCCTTGAGAAGAAAGGGGCAGAGTACCTGACCCAAGTGACAGGTCTTGCTCCTTCTGCTGTCCTGTGTCAACCCCAGCCCCTGACGCTGTCAGTAACCACTCTTGTGGTTGCTTCATAACAAGCATGTGAGTCTCTGGCTGCAGGAGGGCAGAAGCATCTGATGACTGAGGATTTGGGGCCCCCCGTCAGACTCTGACATCACCATCCCTCCCCAATGCCCATTTGCAAACCCAAGTAGGGATCAAACCCAGCCTCAACTGGATCTGCCGCAACCTTAGAAGTGCTGTGAATCCACTCTAATCACCAGTTTAGATCATCAGGGACCATACCTAAGGACCAGCCAGCCAGCCCCAAAGAGGGCCACACAGCCAGCTGGAGTCAGGGCTGGAGAGTGCAGGGCCTACTTCCTTCCAGGAGAGGGGAGAGATGAGTGAAACAGCTGAGAAAACCCCCCTGCTTTCTTCCTGTGCCCTCCAGAAAGAACAGACAGCCCTTATGGCTTGCATCTCCCCAGAGCCTGAGACCCAGGGTATCAGGGCCTTCCAGGTCCTTCTGCTACATCTCCCTGGCCCAGTAAAGGCAGCACTTTGCAGGGGAGGGAGGAAAGAGTTGGACATATCCTGGATGCTTCACCTTATTCCTTGTTGGTGTATGGGGCTGGAGGTGAGAGGTCATCACAAGGGGTGAGAGGGTAAAAGTTAAGGTACTTTGAGAAGCCCCAGCCCCAGGAATGATCCCTGGCACCTACTCCCCCTTCCCATAGACTGGATAGGAAGCAGGACCACCCACCTCCCTGAGGGGACTTGTGGAAATGCAACAGAGGCATTTTTTTCTCATAATGTGGTGTGTTTAAGCATCTACACATTGTAATACATGCATATAAGTAACATTATAAATTACTTTTAATGTCTTTATATTACAGCACATTATTTATAATCATTGGAATTACATATATAGCCAGAATTTAATAATTGTAGAATAGCATATGCTTTAGTATTTGATAGGGTTAATCCACATTCATTCCTTTTGTTTTCAGAATTTGCCTGTTACCTGCATAGCAGGTGCTCAATAAATATTTTTATAAGTGAATGCTTCAAGGGGCTTATGGTCTGTAGGGCATGCTAAAACTAAGTAGATAAAAGAAACAGTGCCATAGGAATATATTCATTCAACAAATCATGATTGAGTGCCAACTACGTCTAAGGCACGATGCTAAAGGCTGTGCAGGACCCTCCAGAAGACTAAGTCACTATTTACATAGAAAACACAGCCATGTGCAAAATGAAGGGTGCTCTACAGCCATCAAGAAGCTGGGGTGGTCCCTTCTGGCCCAGGGAAGAAAGTGGAGAACTATGAGAGTCTAAGTGGTAGGCTTTGGGGAGAAGCTGCACATTTATGCATTTTTAGGAAAAGTCACCCAAAAAGGAGCTCTTTGGAATACCTATGCAAGATGGAAGAATTCTTCAATCCCAGGTACATTCACCTTTCCAATCCCTAGTCTTGTCAGGGGCTCTTTCCTGGAGTACATAAGAACAAAGAAAATCAGCAGAGCCTCTATCAGCCCACGATGGAGAGAATGCCCCCAAACATTTTGTTCTTTTTTTTTTTTTTTTTGAGGCAAGATCTCTCTCTGTTGCCTAGGCTGGAGTGTGGTGACACAATCACGGCCCACTGCAGCCTCCACCTCCTGGGCTCAGGCAATCCTTCCACCTCAGCCTCTCAAGTAGCTGGAACCACAGACACGTGCCACCATGCCTGGCTAATTTTTTTTTTTTGGTAGAGACAGGGTCTCACTACGTTGCCTAGGCTGGCATCAAACTCCTGGGCTCAAACAATCCTCCCACCTCGGTCTTCCCAAAATGCTGGTATTACAGGCGTGAGACACAGCACCTGGCCCCAAAAACATATTTAGAAGAACATTATGGCCTGCCTCCACATGAAAAATTTCTTGTCAGAAATGTGTTTGCCTCATTACAAAGAAACAACCTCCCCCCAGCATATTGGAATAGCTTTACCCGCTTCTCAGCAGTCACAAAATTGATTTTCTGTTCCCTCTTAACTCCCTCTGGACAGTGGAACTCAGTTATCAAGCATAACTTCCTGTTCTTTCGGTAACCCTATTTGGTGAAATTAGAATTAGGAGTTTAATTCAATGTAGTGCAAAGCCCAATGAGATTAACTTCATGGTTTCAAGACCTTCGCTAGGAAACAGAATCCTGCGTTCTCTATTTCTCTTTCAAAAATTGACATACAACTGAAGAAAAAGGATATTGGGGGTACATCAGCCTTGGGCCTGGGCCCCCTCCTGGGTCCTATGACCCACTCTGCTCTGAATCTGTTGAGCCCTTGATATCTAAAAACCTGCTCTGTAAAGCTTGACCTGTGCCTATCTTTTAAAACAATAACTTTTTTCTTAGATTTCAGGTGGCAAAGTAAGGTGGCCCACTGAGCCAAAGTAAAAGTAAGGTGGCCAAAACACAAATAGTTGCCATTCTTCAGGCGCTTCCCAAGGGGGATGCACTTTCCCAAGGGGGATGAGACATGTAATGTAATCCTCACCATCGTCTTGAAGACATACATGACCTTGCTGCTGCACATGGCTGCGCACTCAGAAGGGCCCTGTGCTTGGTTTAGTGTTCTGCTGTTGTTCTCCTGACATTTGTAATACTTTTTGAGCAAAGGATCCTGCATTTTCACTTTACACTGCACCTGCAAAGTATAGAGCCAGTCCTATCCTCACCATAACCCTTTTGTTTGGTAGGTATTGTTAATCCTATTTTTTAAATGGGAAACCTATGATTAGAGTAGGTTCAGTAACTCACCCAAGGTCATAGAGACTGATGATGGCAGCCTTGGGCTTTGAAGCCAGGTCTCTACTATAAACCCCAGATCCACTGCCCTCCTGGCTCAGCTGTCTAATTCCAGTCAGCCCACATCTCTGAATTAGGATATTAATTCTGGGATAGTCCAGGTTAAAGCGCATTAGCAGGTGGTTTTTCCTTAATCATCAAGATTGTTACTTTAGCTCTCTAAATAGTTCTGCATGTGAAGTATTTATTTTCTGAAAAAATGTTCAGCAAAATGTAATACATTTTGTCTTTGAAACCTAGGCGATCTTTTTATCCTCATACACTTTTAAAATGACATTAGGGATGTCAACATGAAGAATATTTGCTCTATAACAAAATTACTTCTCATTCTAAGATGTAGTGATTTAATAATTAAAATAATATCCATAAAATATAAATACAAGGTATTCATAAATAAATTAAATTGGATTGCAGCTGTTAAGAGCCAATTATCATGTAAAATATCTCTGATGGTCAAAATAATAAGAGAGCAGAATATTAATTTTGACATTCTCTATAGACCATGAGCATAAATTGCTAAAATGGCCTAATCGGTTATGGAATTTTACTGAGATTTGAGGTCGCCCTTAAAATATTCATTGTGTGTTAGAAATTAGTTGTCTTGATTGATTTTAGTTATAATTCCATTATATGTTTACAAGATGGAGGAAGATAGGGTGCCATAAAACAGACGTCTGCTTATGAAATAATAGTAGTAATTAGGATGGTGGCTCCATGATTGAGAAGCAGAGAAACCTAGATTTGAATCCCAGTTTCACCCCTTTCTGGCTGTGTGACCTTAAGCAATTAACTTTTCAAACGTCCTCATCTTTAGAAAAGGGTTATGATAAGGAATAAATTAGATGATGTATAAAGCATATAGCCCAGAGACTGGCACTTAGCAAGCACAAAATAAATATTAGTTCTTATGATTTCTGCGCCACAATACGGGAACTTGAAATGGTTGGAAAGACAGCACTTCCCTATCTTGGTTATTATGCATCAACTTTGATCTTAAGGACCATAAAATATTCTTTAGCACCAACTTAAGAAATTATCAGGATATTCTCAGCCGTGTGGTGTAGCAGGGGGAGTTGGGGAACCCTGATTTGCAGCATTCGACAATTCCCATGGTGTAAATAATCTTACCATGACTGATTTCAGGCTACCAAAGTGATATCCCTAAATGTGGAGTTGGGAATGGTGTGCACACTTGTGTCTCATGAGCCAACATAACCCGGCTCCCATTGGTCCTACTGGTACTTTGGAACTAAGAATGAAAATGATGTGTTGGTTCTCTTTCTGGCTTCGTTGCTCCCTAGTTGCAAGACCCTTTGCAATTCACATCTTCCCTGGGCCTCAGCTTCTTTATCTGTAAAATGGAGATAGCAATACCTACCTGGTATGACTCCTTGGGCTGACGTGACAATTAAGTAAATACAGGACATGAACAACTATTGAAACTGTGAAACACAATGTAATCGAAAATAATTGGTAGTTGTTGATGCACAGACTACTACTGTAGTCGCCAAGGTGGTGTGGTCCAATTTTAAAAGTCCCAAGATATGGAATTCCTTTGTCTTTTGATCTGCTGTTCAGCTGGGCCCTGGAGCTGTTGGTTTACTTACCCTAACCTTTTTTTTTTTTTTTTTTTTTTTTTTTTTTTTTTTTTTTGAGATAGAGTCTCCCTCTACTGCCCAGGCTGGAGTGCAGTGGTGCAATCTTGGCTCACTGCAACCTCCACCTCTGGGGTTCAAGTGATTCTCCTGCCTCAGCCTCCTGAGTAGCTGGGATTACAGGCACGCACCACCATGCCCAGCTCATTTTTTGTATTTTTAGTAGAGACAGTGTGTCACCACGCTGGCCAGGCTGGTCTCGAACTCCTGACCTCATTATCTGCCCACCTCAGCCTCCCAAAGTGCTGGGATTATAGGCGTGAGCCACCACGCCTGGGCATCCCTTTTTTTTTCTTTCTCTGTGACCATTTAACTCAATGATTATCTGCACAATTAACAATAAAACAAGTTAGGCTCTTCCAAGCCACAGGAAACAAAGACTGGCTCCTGTTACCTGAGGCTGCAGAGCTTGGGAAGCCATCCATTCAGATGTCCCACTACCCACCGGTGCACAGGAACAAAATTCTTGTCCTTCAGGGTTATTATGGTGGCCTGGTCACTTTGTTGTCCCCTCAGAAATGGATGTCCTTAGTCCCCTGCTGATCACAAAGCTCTGTATCCATCTCTCAGTTTCTGTCTCCTCTTGACTGCTCTCTGCTGTGACCACCTCTACTTCAACTACATTGAAAGACACTCAGTGCAGTGGTAGGAGCCTGAGTCACAGTGCCTGGGTTCACATCCAGCACCATCGGGTTCTTGCTTTGGGATGGGTGTCTAATCTTCCTGTGCCTCAGCCTCTTCATCTGCAAAATGGGGACAACAGCACCTACCTCATAGGGTTGTTATGAGATTAAAGAGAGTTGAGGCGTGAGATGTTAAGAACCGTGTTTGGCACATGGCAGCAATAGTTGCTGGCAGCTGCCCTCTGCTTCCATGGCTGTCTCTCTGTGGTCCCCCATCGAGTCCAGGTTCTGAAGAGGTCCATTTGACACTGTTCAGTGGAGTGTTTCCCTCCTGGAGGGACGGTTCTTGTAGATTCTGGCTTCCCTTATGTCTGCATAAATGTGGCTGCCTTTGATGACATAGTAAGGTCCCAAGGCACGGAGCACGGCACATCACAGGGAGGAGCCACCGGAGCCCATATTAATCCAGGAGGAATGTGGTCATCTCTCAGCTTCTCTCCTTTCCAGCAAGCAGTCCTTTCTGAACATCTGCAAGGAGGCAACATCAAACCACAAGCACTTCCAGGAAGACACAGTCCATGGCAGGGTACAGGAAGGCTCTGGGGATGATGATAATCAGAGCAGCATACAAGAACATTGTAGTTACTCTTTCATTAGTGGACATTTTAGAGGCTTGCCCTTCACTGTCCTTGGTTGGAAAATCCATTCCTTAAAGGGTGTGGCGACAGCCAATCTTTTCCCACCCCAGTGCCCCTGAGTGGCCCCCTCCCATTGGGAACAGCCTGTGAGGATATCAGCGTGTCTCAGGCTGGGGCATAATCATCTCCAAGGGGCATGATCCTCTTGATAAGAAACAGCCAGCTCCTTCATTTTCCTCAGAAGGAAAGCATTTAAGAGTGTGTTTCCAAGGTTCAGCTGCTCATCTAATAACAATAATAATTACCTTAATGTTCTTCAATAGGGGATTAGTTAAACAAATTATGGTACATACATGGTACATGATGCAGCCATTAAATGAAGTAGAACGATACACCGTATTTCATTAATCCTTATACCACTCTATATCTGTACCACGTGGGTGGCTTTGAAGTCAAAGGGCAGCGCCCAGTTGCATCCTGAATTAAAATCATCCCCCTGGATGGGAGCCAAAATTCCATTTCCATGCTGGCTGCCTGAAACGGGAGACAGATGACCCGGCATGAACAAGTTTCCTGGAACATCACTGGGAAGCCAAAAGGACATTGTAGAGATGAGGCTGAGGCTAGAATGACAATTTCTGGGAGACGGCAAGGTTCAGAACTGGATGTTCCAAGTGGAGGATGAGTATGAGTCACCAAATTGAGAAAGTCTCTAACACTCCCTTGCAGTAGCACAGTCAGATGGTCAGGCTGGTTCAAGGACGGCAAACTGCCTGCCTACCGGCTGCTGCCTTGAGGACTCAGCTGCTCCTATGGGACTGAACACCTGGGAAGCGTCAAAACAGACTGCTTTCCGCTGGAAATTAGAAGGACTAGCAGCGAGTCCTGTGCTAGGGAACAGAGAACATGTTTGGGAAAGGGTTAGAACATGCCCCAGAAATAACACAAGGCTGAACAGGCTCCAGAGCAGAGATGCTGCTGCCCACATGAGCATCTGCAAGGTCCCACCCAAAGGGGAGCTGGCAGTCCCAGAGCCACGTGGGAGAGCATTTCTGGGCAGGTCTCCTTCACCACTCTCAAAGGAGCATATGGCAGCATAGATAGCAATTGGGGCTGATATGCTGAATTCATAACCTTACAGCAGGGACTTGGGGAACATTGACATCTCCTGTAACTATTGCAGGGTGCTTTCTGCCTGGGACCTACAAGCAAGGCTTGGAGGTCCACACATGCCCTCACTGAGTTCCTGCTGCAATGGAGTCTTAGCCAGTTCATGCTGCTATAACAAAATACCATAAACTGGATGGCTTACAAATAGCAGGAATTTATTTCTCACAATTCTGAAGGCTGGGAAGCCTGAGATCAGGGTGCCAGCATGGTCAGATTCTGGCGAGAGCTTCTTCTGGGTTGCAGATGGTGTTCTCACTGTGTCCTCACATGGCAGAAGGGGTGAAAGAGCTCCCCTGGGTCTCTTTTGTAAGGGCATCAATCTCATTCATGAAGGCTCATGACCTAATCACCTCCCAATGGCCCCACCTCCTAATACCATCATCTGGGGTGTTAGGATTTCAACAAATACATTTGTAGGTAGACACTAACATTCAGACCATAGCAAATGGTATGCAGCAGAGATGAATAAACCAAGGTATCGGCTCCCATTGTTCTGCTCAGTCACCATCTACCATGAGTACCAGGGAGCTGAGGAAGAAGAGAAGCAACTCTAGCAGCCAGAAAGAAGCAGGATGACAAATGGAGCTCCGATCTGAAGGGTCCAGGCAAGCCTCCATTGAAACCAAGGCAGGTCCCTGATACTCCAGGTCTTAGTGGGTGTAGACAAGCAGGGTCCTAGGCCCAGGAATGTCAAGCATTGGACAGGAGTCTATAATTTGCTTTCCATCTAGCAGAATAGTCAATAAATGAGAAAACTGTGCTCCAGTCATTCACTCAAGAGGTTGGAAATGGCTTTGTATTAGTTGTCTATTTGCTGCCTAACAAATTGCCTCAACACTTAGTAGCTTAAAACAATAATAATTTACCTCTCACAGTTTCCATGGCTCATAAATTCAGACAGGGCACATCACAGTGAGGATGGCTTGTCCTTGCTCCACTATGTCTGGGGTCATGGCTGGAAGAAGCAAAGGCTGGGGCTGGCATTATCTGAAGACTCATTCACTCACACGCCTGACTGTTGATGCTGACTACAGGCTGAAGGCCCAGCAGGGACAGTTGGCCAGACACCAGCGTCAGCCTCTCCACGCAGCCTGGGCTTCTGCAGAGTATGGTGGCTGTCCAAGGGCCAGGCTCCTGAAAGAGGGCCAGGCAGAAACTTCATGCTTTTTATAACCTTGGGAGTCACAGAGTATCATTTCTGCCCCATTATGTTTGTTATAATACATAACACTAAGTCCTACCCATATTTAAGAGAAAGAGAAATAGCTTCCATCTTTAGATGGGAGAAGGGTTAAAGAATTTGTGGACCTATTTTAAAACCACCATAGGCCTCATAGTTACATGGATTTTGACAAATAGGGACATTTAAGGGTGACAAATAAGGGCATTTAAGGTTGCTCTCATATTCCGTTTTCTTTGCAAAACTAAGATGCTGAAATTTGAAGAAGATACAGATTGAAAGACCTTAAGACTTTAGCTTTTATGATGCCATGCCACCTCCAGCCTAGGCACGTAAGAAGGAGGTAAGAGGACTCATTTAGGCTCCCGCCAGCAGTTCCCAAAGGGCTCCCTCCCAGAGAGGAATTAAATATGCTCTGATGATTATGATGTAGGGAAGGGAGGCTTTCACCTGTAAATATAATAGGAGGCATCATTAGACATTTGGGAAGGTCCATAGAAAAGTCAACAGGGGGAAAGCGGGACTGGACAAAACCTACTAGCATGTAAGCAGGAATCTCTCTACTGTCATAGGTTTTACCCTAGTCTCTGTACACACTAGCTATCTAAATTACACATGCCCTAACATAACTACTCACCCTGCATGAGCATTAGTTTCCTCATCCTGTAAACGTGAATGATAATAGCAGCCATGGCATAGGGTTTGCACGGGAGTTAAGTGAGATCATTCATGTACTGTGCAGTGCCGACACTTCGTGCATTATCTTCAAGGTGGTTGTTGCTATCTATCCTGTTACCAGCTGTCCCCCAACTCCACCGCCTCTAAAGAAGATGCGAGCCCTGCCTGTTCAGTTGTCTTCCTCTTTCTGAAGCTTGGAGAGATCCAGCCTTGCTAGGGGAGTTTCTGGAGCTTTTCCTATGGGGGAGGAGAGAATGAGCAAGAGAAAGAAAGGAGGAAGCAGGACCCACACTGAGAGAGAAGTTTTTTAGGGAATTTTGAAGGAGGAAACGCAGGTCAGCTCAGGTGTGGAGCCAAGTGGAGTCAGGTGTGAGCCAAGAGAAAGGATTTTCTTTCTTTCTTTTTTTAAACGGAGTCTTGTTCTGTTGCCCAGACTGGAGTGCAGCGGCGTGATCTCGGCTCACTGCAGCCTCCACCTCCCAGGTTCAAATGATTCCCCTGACTCAGCCTCCTGAGCAGCTGGGTTTGCAGGCGCATCACCATGCCCAGCTAATTTTTTGTATTTTTATTAGCGATTCTCCTGCCTCAGCCTCCCGAGTAGCTGGGATTATTGGCGTGTGCCCCCATGCCTGGCTAATTTTTTTGTATTATTAGTAGTGATGGGATTTCACCATGTTGGCCAAGCTGGTCTTGAACTTCTGACTTCAAGTGATCCACCCATCTTAGCCTCCCAAAGTGCTGGGATTACAGGCATGAGCCACCGCGCCCAGCCACCAGAGAAAGGATTTTCTAAGACAAATCCTTTATGTGGTTCAAAAACTACAATGACCAACTTGAGTTTCTCTAGATTAACTTTTGGTTGTTGTGGATGTTTCTGGTCAGGACATTGCTCAGAGTCTGGGCCTTGTGCAGATAACTTTATAAGCATTACATAATTTTAACTAAAATGAAGGCTCCAAACTGTTGGTATAGCATGCTTCCATTTGTGTTAGGTTTTTACATAGAAAATTTCTAGAAGAAATAAAAGTAACCATTAAGAGTAGCTTTCTCTGAGCTACAAGAGATACTGATTTTTCATTTTATACCATTTGTTTTACTAATTTTTTTCCAACCTGAGCACATGTAACTTTCTCTATTTAATGTAAATTAGTGTTTTTAAAGAAATGGCCATTTATTAAATCCCCATTAAATATCCGTCAGGGATTTTTATTTTATTTTATTATTATTATTATTATTTTGAGACAGTTTCGCTCCTGTTGCCCAGGCTGGAGTGCAATGGCACAATCTCGGCTCACCGCAACCTCCGCCTCCCAGGTTCAAGTGATTCTGCTGCCTCAGCCTCCCAAGTAGCTGGGATTACAGCCATGCGCCACCACGCTTGGCTAATTTTTTTGTGTTTTTAGTAGAGACAGGGTTTCTCTATGTTGGTCAGGCTGGTCTCAAACTCCTGACCTCAGGTGATCTGCCTGCCTCAGACTCCCAAAGTGCTGGGATTACAGGCATGAGCCACCGCGCCCAGCCACCAGAGAAAGGATTTTCTAAGACAAATCCTATATGTGGTTCAAAAAATACAATGACCAACTTGAGTTTCTCTAGATTAACTTTTGGTTGCTGTGGATGTTTCTGGTCAGGACACTGCTCAGAGTCTGGGCCTTGTGCAGATAATTTTATAAGCATTACATATTTTTATCTAAAATGAAGGCTCCAAACTGTTGGTATAGCATGCTTCCATTTGTATTAGGTTTTTGCATATAAATTTTCTAGAAGAAATAAAAGTCACCATTAAGAGTAGTTTTCTCACTGGGTGCAGTGGCTCACGCCTGTAATCCCAGCACTTTGGGAGGCCAAGGCGGGTGGATCACAAGGTCAGGAGATCGAGACCATCCTGGCTAACATAGTGAAACCCCGTCTCTACTAAAATACAAAAAAAAAATTAGCTGGGCGTAGTTGCTACTCAGGAGGCTGAGGCAGGAGAATGGCGTTAACCTGGGAGGCAGAGCTTGCAGTGAGCCGAGATCACGCCACTGCACTCCAGCCTGGGCAACAGAGGGAGACTCTGTCTCAAAAAAAAAAAAAAAAAAAAAAGTAGTTTTCTCTGAGCTACAAGAGATACTAATTTTTCGTTTTATTTTTATTTATTTATTTATTTTTTGAGACAGAGTCTCCCTCTGTCACCCAGGCTGGAGTGCAGTGGCACGATCTCCGCTTGCTGCAACCCCCTACTCCTGGGTTCATGCCATTCTCCTGCCTCAGCCTCCCAGTAGCTGGGACTACAGGCACCCACCACCACGCCTGGCTAAGTTTTTGTATTCTTAGTAGAGACGGGGTTTCACCGTGTTAGTGAGGATGGTCTCGATCTCCTGACCTCATGACCAGCCCGCCTTGGCCTCCCAAAGTGCTGGGATTACAGGTGTGAGCCACCGCGCCCAGCCTAATTTTTCATTTTATACCATTTGTTTTACTAATTTTTTTTCCAACCTGAGCACACATAACTTTCTCTATTTAATGTAAATTAGTGTTGTAAAGAAATAGCCATTTATTAAATCCCCATTAAATATCTGTTAGGGATTTTATATGCATTGTATCTGATCCACACAACAACTTTGCAAGATTGATTTTATCTCCTATTTTATAGATGAGCAAACCTAGGCTTGAAAGATGAAGTGAATGTATTGGTCAGGATTCTCCAGAGAAACAAAATCAACAGGAAAGAGAAAGATTTATTTTAAGGAATTGGCTCACGTGATTGTGGGTGCTGGTAAGTCCCGAATTCATAGGGCACGCCAGCAGCCTGAAAATTCGGATAAGAACTGATGTTACCGTCTAGAGTGTGAATTCAGCAGGGCAGCAGGCTGGAAACTCAGGCAGGGTTTCTGTGTTGCAGTCTTGAAGGAAATGCCTTCTTCTTCTGGAAACCTCAGTCTTTGCTTTACTTAAGGCCTTCAAATAATTGGATGACGCTCAACACATGATGGAGGGTAATCTGCTTGACTCAGCCTCTACTGGTTGTGTTAGCCACATCTAGGAAATACCTTCATAGCAACATCTACACTGTTGACTCAACATCGGGCACTGCAGCCTTGCCCGTCTAACACATAAATTAACCATCACAGTGAATTGGCCAAAATTTCACAGCTAATAAATTGTTAGTCTGGATTGGAACCCACAGTCCCACAGTCTGGAGCCAAAGGCTAGAAGTGGATGAGCAGACTACAGGCATAGGGTATACACAAATGGCTGGCTGTCTTGGGCGAGTGGAGTAAAGAAGAGGGTAAGGCATAACCCTTGCAAGACACTCCCGGATCAGATGGCAGCTCTCCTGCGCTTCTCCACTGAGCTCTGATGCCAACTAACCGGGAGACACTGGAAGTCACTCCTCTCTCCATCTGTGCTGTTGGTTTTTTCCCTCCTCCGAAGGGAGAGATTAAAGTAAATAGTCTTTAAGGGCCCTTTAAGTCGTACATGTTAAGATTCAATGCCGCTGAGAGGAAACACAAATTAATACCACAATAATGTACCACTATATGCCCATCAGAAAGGTTACAGAGACTGAAAATGCCAAGTATGTGTATAACTCAATAAGAAAAGGCAAAAGTTACATATTTTTATATATATATATATATATATATATAATTACACAAAAGAAGCTACACTATTTTTTTTTAAATAAACGCAAAGAGGTGGTTCTCATAAAAGTCAGGATACCACTGTCTTTAGTGAGGAAGGAATGAGTTATAATCAGGAAAAAGCCTGATAGGGCTCCTTGAGTCCAGATGGTGTTCTGCAGGTTTCTTGACCTGGAGGTGGTTGCACAGATGATCACTTACAGTAATCCATTAAGCTCTTCACAACATTTAGGTTTTATATACAGTCATGCAGTGCATATGGACATTTTGGTCAGTGATGGATCACATATACAATGGTAGTCCCATGAGATTATAACACTGTATTTTTACTGTACCTTTTCTATGTTTATATATGTTTAAATACATAAATTCTTACCATTGTGTTACACTTGCCTACATATTCAATATGGGAACATTCCGTCCAGGCTTGTAGACTCAGAGCAATAAGCTCTACCATGCAGCCTAGGCGTGTAGTAGGCTACAACATCTGGGTTTGTGTAAGTACACCCTGATGTTTGCACAACGATGAAATTGCCCAAGGACACATTTCTCAGACTCTGTTCCCATGGTTAAGTGATGCAATACTGTACTTTTATGTATAGATGGTATATTTTACAATAAAAATTTCTAAAAATAAATAAGAAACTTCGAAGTTGCTGCTCTCTTGATGCCCTGGAAGACAGGAGGCTCTGGGAAGAACCCCAGGCAGACAGCTTCAGCTCAGAGGCCTGACTCCCGGGCCAGGGTTCTGGCCACTGGCTCTGCTACCTTTCCGTACGAGGAAGGGACTTTGAAAAATTTTCTCTCCCTGTTCCACTCCTTTCAGGGCTCTTAATCAAGAGGAGGCACATCTTATTATAGAAGGCGCCTTCCATTTCACTCCAGACACAGCCTTCTCTTCCCTTGTCTGATGTGTTGATTAGATTTCAGGCAGGATTACCGGGGTTGATGCCATTAAGTAAAAAGTTATCTCCTTTGGAAACAGCCCAGAAAGTCTGGATTCCATTTTTAAAAGCCTCAGATCCCATTAAAGATGAAACATTGAGAACCAAGTGGATTTAGATTGGGTGGGAGAAATCAGAACTCCAAGTGCTGGCAGGCTCATGTGAACACCTGGGTGGGGAAGGGGGAAGAGGGATGGCGGTAAAATGGGGACAAGGAGTGTACTTTGGCAGTAAGATCAGCAAATTCTCAGCAACTCTCTTCCTCAAGAGCAAGTGATCAATAAATCAAATACTGCCCATCTGCTAGGCAGTCACTGAATAAATTACGGTATGCTCACACCATGATATATTGTGCGTCCATTAAAAGTACAAATTAGAGTTACATCAATGGACTTGGGTGGATTTCCACCAGGTATTATTGATTGAGAAAAGCAAGATACTTCAGCCTTTAAAGCATCTGTAACATGCTCCTATTGTATAAAACAATGACAAACAACCCTCCTCTTATGTACATGAATACTTCTGTACATGTATATGTGCCCATATGAGTCTGCATGTACGGAGCAAAATATGGAAAGAAACATACCAGGTTGTTAACATCAACTACCCAGCAAGATTTTGGGTGGTGGTGGGTGCTGAAGAGGATGGAGGAGACATGAAAGGTGGAACCAAACAAAAGAAAACCATGAAAAACAGCCAGCAGGAATGATAGGATCACATGTATGTGTTTATGTAAAAACGAATAAGGGGTGGGGAATTTAACTATGTATTGCACCTCTACTTTCTCTAGCCCTATCTCAGGCATTGTAAAGAACAGAGGACAGCTCTGTTGGCCGGAAGCTTACACTCCCTTTGGGAAAACAAGGCAAACCCATGCAGCACTCAGTGAGCAAGCCAACATAATTCAACGTTCGAATTCCCTATCTCCTGAGTTCCTATCACTCTATTATATTGTTTATTTAACAAGCATTTCTTCAGGCCACACTAGGTGCCAGGTGTGATCATTGTCCCTGAGGAGTTAAAAAAGCAATATAATTAGAGATGGATATCTAGTGCTAAGTAAATATTATCAAATGGGGTTAAAATAGCTGTAATTTGGACAGAGAGAGGTGCTGTATGATATTTTGTCTTTATAGCCTTTGTAGTCCATCACATCAGTATCTAGGGCTGGAGAAAGACCTTATCACCCATCTAGTGTAACTTCTATATATTAATTATGAGGAAACTGAGGCCCTGGGGGAGCAAATGAGAGTAGTCCCTTCCAGTGATTAGCAGAGCTGAGCTACAGCCCACAGCTCAAGAACCAGGCTTGTTTCTGTCCACCACACAATAGTGTCTTCAAGCAAAACTAAGAACAAATAATGTCTGAGAGTGAAGGATTTGATGTTTTAATGATCTTTCATCTGAAGCAGCAAATATAATAGGGAAAATATGGTGCTATAGGTTCAATTGTCTCCCCCCAAAAGATGTATTCAGGTCTTACCCTCTGGAACCTATGTATGTGAGCATATTTGAAAATAGAGCCTTTGTGGTATCGATGACTGCTACACCTCAGCCCGGGGCTGCACTGCCACCCTGGGCAACTTCAGTAGGTAGGTGGTCCACGCATGGGGCATAGCCATGGTCTCTCAGCTCTGCTTAACCACACGGGTCCAGTGTGTGCTTGGCGTGTTTTCAGGGAGGCAGAGAAAGGCTCTCCTAATGCACGACAGACCCGCCCAGAATGGCCTCTCTGTTCCTAGGAGTGTGACAATTTTTGGGTTAAAAAAAAAAAAAAAAGAAAATAGAGCCTTTGCCTATGTAATGAAGTTAAGATGAGGTCATACTGGATTGGGGTGTTTCCTAAATCCAGTATGACTGGTGTCCTTATAAGAAGAGAGAAATGTGGACACAGAGATACAGACACACAGGGGAGAAGGCCACACCAAGATGGAGGCAGAGATGGAATGCTGTATCTGTCTGTAAGCCAAGGAGCTCCAAGGCCTGCCAGCAACCACCAGAAGCTAAAATAGGCAAGGACGGATCCTTCTCTAGAGCCTTTGGAAGAACATGACCCTGTAGACACCTTGATTTTAGACTTCTAGCCTCTAGAACTGTAAGATAATATATTTCTACTGTTTTAAGCCATGCTAATATACATCGCTTGGAGTTTGTTAGATCTAGGTAAAATCTTGTTTTTGTTATTTACAAGACGGATGATCTTGGACAAACCAACAAACTTCGTTGATCCTTGGCTTCATTACTGTAAAACAGGGATAATAGCAGCACCTCGGTTGCTGTGAGGATAAAACAAGGTAACTCATGGACAGCACCCAGCTCCTAACCACTCTACTGAACTCTGGGAAAGGAAATGGACCAGGCTGGGCTCGGGGAAGGTAGCAGGCTCTGAGTCCCTCTTCCCCTGAACCTCATGATGCCATGTGGAGCAAGGCTGGCCAATTCATCTTTTTGGCTGGAATTAACCTACAGTAATGGCTTGCATGCTGTAGAATAGCTATGCTGTTGGCTGAAGCCTATCCCTCCCTGACAGTAACAACTTAATGGTCTAGAGAGTGATGCTGAGGCAGGAGAATGGGGTCTGGAGGGAGGGAACATAAAGCCAATTCACACTGACTTCCTAGAACTCAATCAAATAGAAACACTTCAGCTATGACAGGAAATACCCTCTCCATTTACATAGGGCGTACACCAACTAAATGACTTTGTAACTTTACTACATTCTCCTCATTTACATAGAGTGTACACCAGTGAAAACCTCTAGAGGGTATTTAAATGCCCCAAAATTCTGTAACGGGGCTCTTGGGCCCTTATGCTCAGGCCCACTCCCACCCTGTGGAGTGAACTTTTGTTTTCAATAAATCTCTGCTTTTGTTGCTTCATTCTTTCTTTGCTTTGTGTGTTTTGTCCAATTATTTGTTTGAGACGCCAAGACCCTGGACACCCTTCATCATTATCAATGCTACAGAAAACTGAGATGACACTGATAAGAGAGGGCATTGGTTTGAGCAAAAGACCCAGGTTCTATTCCTGGCTTGAAGACTTACTCTGTTGACCTTGGAATTTGCATCCCAGTAGGAATAACAACACCTTCAGCCTCATAAAGCATTAGTAAAAATGAATGTGTTCTTAAAAGTCCTTTGAACAATGGAGCAGAGCTACCAAAAGACAAACTGAGTCAGCTATAGATACAGATGTAAATTTAGGTTTCGCTTCTAGAGTAAGGGAAAGACAAAATTCCTGTTTGCCTGCATATATCCATTAAACTCCTTTTGAACAATTGCTAGGATCTGAGGACACAAAAATGAGTAAGATGCAGTTCCCTGTCCTCAAGTCCTTGCAATCTGGTGAGGAAGACAGTGCAAGAACCATGAGAACAGTCAGAAGCCATGATCCTGACTTGAGAAAGGTCTGGAGGTTTCTGGAGCTTGAATGGAAGGAAGGATGGTCAAAGAAAGCCTTTCAGAGGAGGAAACTCTGTGTCATTTTTTCTATTGCCAATTTTAAAAAGTGATTCTGGTCTCAAGATCTCAGAAAAAGCTATCATAAGTCATGGAATCATCTCCTATTTATTTTACAATGTATGAAAAATCCTTGATCTCCCTCTTTGCCTCATACCTTCTAAGAATGAGGTACCTTAAAAACACATCCACACAAAAACCTACATATGGATGCTTTTAGCAGCTTTATTCATAATGCCAAAACCTGGAAGCAACCAAGATGTCCTTCAGGAGGTGAATGGATAGGTAAACGGTGATACATTCAGACAATGGAATATTATTCATATAAGATACAATAAATCTTTCTGAGTTTGTCTTCAAAGGGTTTAGCCTATTAACTTCCTTATCCTTTGTTCTCAAACTCAACTTTCTTTTTCTTCCTTGCCCCTAGTTACTGTAAACAGCCTACCCCCTTCCCGTCAGCTCTAATCAATAACTCACGTCTGTTCCCTTGGTTACCTGTACCCATTGTTCCCCCAAAAACTGCACGTCTCACACACTCCACCTCTGTACCTCACGTTCCGCCTCCCCTTTTATATTTAGAAAAATATATACAAGTAGCCAATGGGGTCAGCTCAGATTGTGCGGTCCGACCCCAGCCCATGGGGGGGGGTGACACAGAGATAGGGACTGCATTAAGGATAAAAACCCCCTGGTCTCCTTTGTTCTCTATGCTCTTGCCATCTTGATCAATGCAAGTGGCACCCGTCTGCAGAAGTAAATTGCCTTGTTGAGAAAATTAAACTTTTGCCTGCGTGCTGGTTTTACTTCGCGGCACCAAGCATTTATTCCTGAAGCGTTTTATATCCAACATTCAGCACTAAAAAGACACGAACAGCCGAGCGGGGTGGCTCACACCTATAATCCCAGCACTTTGGGAGGCATAGGCAGGGGTATTACCTGAGGTCAGGAGTTCCAGATCAGCCTGGTCAACATGGCGAAACCTTTTCTCTACTAAAAATACAAAAAAATTATCCAGGCGTGGTGGTACGTGCCTGTAATCCCAGCTACCCAAGAGGCTGAGGCAACAGAATTTCTTGAACCTTGCAGTGTTGTAGGAGTTATTACGAAATTATCTGGCCAGGCGCGGTGGCTCATGCCTGTAATCCCAGCACTTTGGGAGGCCGAGACAGGCAGATCACGAGGTCAGAAGATCGAGACCATCCTGGCTAACACAGTGAAACCCCGTCTCTACTAAAAATACAAAAAATTAGCCGGCCTGGTAGCGGGCACGCCGGTAGTCCCAGCTACTCAGAAGGCTGAGGCAGGAGAATGGCGTGAACCCGGGAGGCGGAGCTTGCAGTGAGCCGAGATCGCGCGCCACTGTACTCCAGCCTGGGTGATAGAGCGAGATTCCGTCTCAAAAAAAAAAAGAAAGAAATTATTTGAGACAGATAGAGAGGAAAAAGGGTCCTTGGGAAGTCCCAGCTCTTAGAGCTGGGCCGGCAACTTTTGATATGCAAATGCAGGCCATTAGAAACTGGGCCTACCCAAACATGGCGGTTACTGCTGCCTTCTTGCCCTTGCCCCACATGTTCCTGGCAACGTCCGCCACATATCCCCACATGCGTAGAACGTCACAGCGCCCTGCATTTGCATATTAAAAGGCTAGGAAGGGAGGGCCAGCTTTTTCCCTGCTACGTGAATAAAACATGCCTGGTCAAACCAATCCGCTAAGCCCTGTGCAAATCAGATCGCCTCCTCCGGCCTCTGCATGTATACCTGGCTGGCGTCCACCACACTTGGGGCCCTCCTCTTTCGGCTTTGGAGCCCCCCTCCCTCTGTCTCTGTAAGGGGAAGCCTCTAAGTTCTGCCTTCTTTCTTGCCTATTAAACTCTCCGCTCTTTAAAACCACTCCACGTGTGTCAGTGTTGTTTTACCTAATTCAAGGTAAGACAAGAGCCCTGGTGTCCCTCCACTCATGGGAGCCGTATCAGCAGTGAGCCGAGATCACGCCACTGCACTACCGCCTTGGTGACAGAGCGGGACTCCGTCTCAAGGAAAAAAATAAAAGACACTAGCTATCAAGCCATGACAAGACATGGAGGCACCTTAAGTGGGGATATTAACCAAGTGAAAGAAGCCAATCTGGCAAGTCCACCGCGCCCTGCCTGCCTTCCTCCTTTCTGGTCATCAAACTGTTTGCTTCTAACAGTGCCCAGTGAGTAGGATTCTATTGAGTGCCAGGTGTAGGAGGAGAGATGCCAGCAGGAAAAAGGAGAAGCAATGCTGGCTGCTTCATGGTACCTGTTAGCTTGAAAACACAAAGATGCTCTCCCTGCGTCTTGTTTGACAAGCGATCGGCGGGAGGCGCGCTTGTTGGCATGAACAGGAACCACTGCCTGCTTTCCTTGACATGGAAGAGCATGAACTTCTTTGAGCAGATCTGTGTGGCAATGTCACCCTGAAATGAAAGTGCCCGGAGGGTCACAGGACACCCTGCTGAGGATAGAAGAGCCAGTAATCCCAGGGCTATGGAATTGAACAGCAGAGCAGCCCAGCGATAATGGAGGGGAAATGTCACAGAGGCCCTGAAAAGAACCCTGTGCCTTTGAGGAGGTAAAGCCAGGGGGAGGGGCAACTGTGACAGGGGCTGGGGCGGAGAGGGTGCCTCCTCACTTCTCTCTGCCCCTTATCTTTCCCACCTCCTTGTTATCTTACGAGGAGCTGTGCTAAGCCTTTCATGTGCCTGTTTTAGTTTTGGACTGACAGCCTGAAGATAACCTCACTTCTTTTATGAGCAGTGGGACCCTGAGTTATCACTTAGACCCTCTGAGGCTCCATTCCTACGTGAGAAGTGGGGACGTTAGTTCCTGCCGTAGTCACTGAGAGTGTGGGCAGCAGTGGCAACCCAGGCTTAGAGGAGGGTGGACCAGGCAAGGTCCCTGACGCCTCTACCCACCCAGACCTGCTTGGGCTAGTGAATAGAGACATGATGCCTCTCGTGCAGGTTTTAGGGGAGAATTTTCTTCATTAAAAGCTACCGTTCGAATGCCTCCTTGGTGCCAACCACACTCACTATATCATTTCATATACAATGCCCCGCTCGTATAACTACCTATGAGAGGTTAAATGGTTCCCATTTTGCAAATGAGGAAACTGAGGAGCAGAGAGTTTTGATGCTCAAGGTCACAGAGCCAGGCCTGTGGGTGCACTACACTGTCTGCAGTGTAGCAGGCTCTCGACAGCCATTGGTTCTCTCCCTGCCCCTTCATTCACAGGACTGATGTAAGAATAGGCAAACTGTGGAGACAGTGAAAAGATCAGTGGTTGCCCGGGAGGGATTTATAGGCAGAGCAGAGAATTTTTAGGCCATGAAGCTATTCTGTATGATGCCATCATGGTAGATACATGTCACTATATATTTGTCAAATGACAAGGCATTTGTAAACAATAGATGAAAATAGTACTTTATAAATATAGGCAGCTTTTTTAAATATATACAAAAGTCCTCTATTTTGTAAGTTGACATTTAAAACTAAGAAAACATCACAAATTTATAGTCCTGTAAATATTCCTTAGACTAGGATTACAAAGAGTGTTCACCAACAGAAAATATTTCTACAGTTCCCCAAAAAGATTTACTTAAACCATCCAATGACTCATTTTTATGGTACTGATGTAGTTTTGAAAGTCAAATAACAGTCTGTAAGGACCGAAAATCAAAATAGAGCTTTCTGTTAAAAAAAAAAAAAAATCATTTAGCACTCGTGGAAGATATTCAATTAGGAAAAATAGAAAGAGTTATTTTTCTTCCTGGTGGCTATCTCATATCATTTCATTTTCTGTTCATCTCCACTGCATTCCCGCAGCGGGCGCCTCCTCCATGCACAGCTGCGCTGGTCTCTGGTTTCGCCACCTCTGTTCCCTCTTCACTGGGCTGTGACTTTGGTTATAACTAGTTGTGCCTTCCCAGAAGCCGGCAGGGGAGGCCCCCAGGATGGAGCCAGGGTTATAGGCGAAGTACCCAGGCAGGGCCAGCCTCATGGACACGTGTGTGACCAGAGCAGCCACCCAGGGCCCCACACTCATCAGGGCCCCCTGCGCTCAGGACTGAATGCTCTGCAGTGGCTATCTTGAAATTCTTAGTAATTCTTTCTTTGAATTTGTGCTTTGTAAGTGAAGTCTGACTCACAACGGAGCCTCATCTCATTCCCTGTCCCTCCCCCTGCTGCCTCCCTAGGTCCCTCCTCCCCACCTCCTGGTCTCCAGCCCTGCCTGGCCTTCCCCTCCACGCTCCTGTCCTGCCATCACTGCTATCCTCTGCCCAGGGTGGTGACCAGGTCGCATCAGCAGGGACAGACCCACATTTCTGGGCACAGGCATGGGAGGATTAGGGTCAGACACACACGCTGTGACATCTTGGGATGAGGCAAGTCGGCAGCTGTCCTCTTTCAGGGCTGGCACAAGCAACTCAGCCAGAACCTCCCTCCACCCCCGATGCAGCTACCAAGTCATCCCAGTGTGGAAGCTGTCATCCCTTGGGGGTCACCTGGCCTCTCTGGCTTGGATGGCAGCTGGCAGGCCATGGGAAGGTGAAAATGCTTTCCTGACCTAGCAGGGGCTCTGTATTTTTTTTTTTTTTTTTTTTTTTTTGCATCTGCATCAAATTATGTAGCCAGCCTTCCCCTCAGGTCTCTCTTCCTGCCCTTCAGTGAGCACCAGGGTCCCCAGGTCCTGTTTCCTTCTCTCTGTACCACCTGGATGGTGCTCTCGTCCTTCCTCCTGTTCCTCTTCTAAGCCCAGCTTAGATTCTGCCCCTGCCCCAGCCAACACTTGCCTTCATCAGCGTCCTCTTCCTTTCCGTGCCCATGGCGCTTAATGCAGCCTGGCTCTTGACCTAGTGGCCTTCACCTCTTTGGGTCTCAGTTTCGTCTTCTTTATAATGGGGGAGAGAAGATGTGGCCAGCTCTTAGGAGCCCGTCCCCAAGGAAGGATACACATTTGTGGGCCTTGCTCCTCAGCAAGGATGCGAAGAATTCGAAGGATGAAACTCAGGCTTCCCTAGTGCATGCCTCAGTCCTCATCCCTATGTGCAGCCCAACACAAACATTTTCGCAGTGTCTCTTGAATTGAATTCCTTAGAACAAAGGTGCGTCAGCCCTTTCAGACTCGCCTGATCTCTTGCCCATTGTGACTTCGAGTTTTTGCATCCATCATGCGTCTCTCAGTTCTTCCAGCTGTTTCCAGTGGGCTGAATCCATCACAGTAGGAAACCTGGATTAACCTAGAGGTGGCCTCTCCTGCCTGTGTGTCCATCAGAGGCCACTGCTGCCCCAGTGTGGGTGCCCGGGGACAGCTTCCCTGACGCACTGTAGCCATCCTGCTCAAGTAGGGAGCACTCCTGACCTCTGTCACCAGCTGGAGGATCAGCTGCCCTTTCGTCCAGACAGCCACTGGCAGCCACTTGGCCAGACACCAAGGGGGATGATGGCTTGAAGGTAGGCAGCCAGTGTGGGAGTCAAGCCTTCATACAGCACAGTCAAAAACTCGTAAGTGTTTGTGCAAGGATGGAATCTGCTTTCCAGGGGAAGCAGCGTAGGCCATGGCCCTCAACTCTGTCTGGTGATAGAAAAAAGGCAAGAGACAAGTCCCTCGCCCAAAGAGTGCTAGTGCCAGAGACAGTACAGATTTGAACACAAATAGTCAGGAGGACCACTCTACTCTCTGGGCTTCTCAAATTTTATCATGTACAGGAACCACTTGGGGAGATTATTTAAATCCAGGTTCCCAAACCTCACCCTGCAGAGGGTCTGATTCTGTAGGTCTGAAGGGAGGTAAGGGGGGTGCTGAAATCCCAGTTTATAGCAAGCACCTCTAGTAATGTTGCTGCCCTCTCCACAGACCACACTTGGAGGGCAACTCCCCCATCAGCGAGCATCAGGCCACCTACCCTGCCTGCCCAGGCCACAGCCAGCGACTGGGGGCCAACCACGAGCTGATCCACAGATACTGAGGCTTGACTTCAACTACTGAGCAAGAATAAGAGACAGAGGAGAAACTGGCCAGTTTGTGCAGACCTGAGATAGAAGGTCAGGTAGCCTCGAGGGCTGGACAGCTATGCTGGGTTGTATTAGCCTGAGAAACAGAAGAAGCCTGTGATAGGGTGGAGAACAGAGAAGATGGCTGGAGAGAGACCCAGAGAGAGAGAGAGAGAGAGAGAGAGAGAGAGAGAGAAAATAGGAACCACCGCTAGAGCTGCCTTTCTCCTTTCCTTCCTTTCCAAGGTCTGAGGCTTCAGCCACGTTACCCTGGGTTCTTGTGCACCTGCACCCATCCAATCAGCCCTCCATTCCTGGGGTAACTTGGTTTTTCCTCTAAAGTGCTCTGACACACAGGACAAGCGCTGACCCTTGGCTGGAGCAGGCCCACCTCCCTGGTTGTGGTGGGGAGAACCTGCCTCTGGCAGCCTCTAGGGCCCTGGCCTTGGTGATATCAACAGCAGGGTGTATGATGGTGCATTCTTATTCTCTATTTTCTTTTTTCTTTCTTTTTTTTTTTTTATTTGAGACAGAATTTCACTCTCGTTGCCCAGGCTGGAGTGCAATGGCGCGATCTCAGCTCACTGCAACCTCCAGGTTCAAGCAATTCTCCTGCCTTAGCCTCCAGAGTAGCTTGGACTACAGGCATGCGCCACCATGCCCAGCTAATTTTGTATTTTTAGTAGAGATGGGGTTTCTCCATGTTGGTCAGGCTGGTCTCAAACTCCTGACCTCAGGTGATCCACCCACCTCGGCCTCCCAAAGTGCTGGGATTACAGGTGTGAGCCACCGTGCCCAGCCTCTCTGTTTTCTAGGATAGATTCCTGAAAGGGGAATTCTTGACTTGGAGGGTGTGAACTTTTTTTTTTTTTAATGTTTTCCTTCATGTTTCTCATATCTGCTTTCCAGAAACCCTGATCACGTGCCTGTTCTGTGGTTACACACTGAGCAAGCAAAAACCCCTTGCTGGGTGGAGAGATTCATGGCGAAGGGAGCCAAACAGGGCTGCACCATACTGGGAAAGACTGCTCAATGTCAAGCGCAATCGCTGCGGCTTCTGTTTTCTTCAAAGAAAGCAGATTCCATCCTTGCACTAACACTTATGAGTTTTTGACTGTGCTAGTCAAGGGTTTCTGCTGTAAAAAGTTGAAACCATTCTTGGTTTTCTTAAATAGAATGAGGAAATTCTGGAGGGTGTCATCAGC
This sequence comes from Homo sapiens, assembly GCF_000001405.40. NCBI lineage: Eukaryota > Metazoa > Chordata > Mammalia > Primates > Hominidae > Homo > Homo sapiens. Next base: position 30,196,495 of record NC_000002.12, read on the forward strand.
TGAATAATGTCCCCCCACAGATATCCATGTCCTAGTGCCTGGAACCTGTGAATGTGTTATGTTACCAAAAGGGACTTTGCAGATGTAATTACATTAAGGATCTTGAGATGGTGGTATTATCCTGAATTATCTGGTTAGGTCTGATATAATTACAAAGGTCCTTAGAAGAGGGAGGCAGGAAGGTCAGAGTCAGAGAAAGACTTGTGACATCGTCAGAAGTGGAGGTCAGAGAGACTTGAAGATGCTGCACTGCTGGCTTTGAAAATGGAGGAAGGAGGCCAGGTGCAGTGGCTCACGCCTGTAATCCCGGCACTCTGGGAGGCCAAGGTGGGTGGATCACCTGAGGTCAGGAGTTCGAGACCAGCCTGGCCAACATGACAAAACCCCATCTCTACTAAAATTACAAAAATTAGCCGGGTGTGGTGGTGCGCGCCTGTAATCCCAGCTACTTGGGAGGCTGAGGCAGGAGAATTGCTTGAACTCGGGAGGTGGAGGTTGCAGAGAGCCAAGATTGCACCACTGCACTCCAGCCTGGGCGACAGAGCAAAACTCAGCCGCTAAAAAAAAAGAGGCTAGGCGTCGTGGCTCACACCTGTAATCCCAGCACTTTAGGAGGCCGAGGTGGGTGGATCACCTGACCAACATGGAAAAACCCCGTCTCTACCAAAAATACAAAATTAGCCGGGCGTGGTGGCATATGCTTGTAATCCCAGCTACTCGGGAGGCTGAGGCAGGAGCATTGCTTGAACCCAGGAGGCAGAGGTTGCGGTGAGCTGACATCGCGCCATTGCACTCCACTCCAGCCTGGGCAACAGGAGCAAAACTCCATCAAAAAAAAAAAAAGAAAAAGAAAAGAAAATGGAGGAAGGGACCCTGAGTCACAGAATGCAGACAACCCCTTTAAGATGGAAAAGGCAAGGAAATGGGTTTCGCCCTAGAGACTTCAGCAAGAACCAGTCCTGCCAACACCTTAATTTTACTCTGTAAGACCTATTTCAGAATTCTGACCTCCAGAATTGTAAGACAATAAATATATGTTGTTTTAAGTCACTGAGTTTGTGGAAATTTGGGAGAGCAGTATCAGGAAATTAATACAGAAGGCTCCAAGCAGCTGAGAACTGCCGGGGAGGCTGGAGAAACTGGCTCAGGCAGGGAGACACAGCAGAGCCCTGCCCCAGGAGTGGCCTGCTCAGGACGCTGCCCCTACTGGACACTTGCCACTGCCTCGGTGAGCACCCCTCCCTGGGACATGTGCAACTGCTGCCAGATCCCACCTCACTTCACACCTTCATCTCGCCCCCTCAAGACTCAGGCGGGAGGTCTGGACTGACCTCACATGGCAAGTGCCCACACAGTAGGTGCCAGGGCTGAGAACACAGTTTCCAGTTTCCAAGGTGCAGCAGGGACCCTGTCTCTGGGTTATCTCAGAAATCCCCCAGATAGGAAGGTATTCAGATGGCAGCTGACTAAAATGGCAAATTTCCACCAGAGTGGCTTTGGGCAGGCTGCCAAGCCTCTCTAGACCCCAGTTTCCACATCTTCAGATAAAAGTTTATGGCCAGGCATGGTGGCTCACACCTGTAATCCCAGCAATTTGGGAGGTCAAGACAGGAGGATCACCTGAGGTCAGGAGTTCAAGACCAGCCTGGCCAACATGGTGAAACCCTGTCTCTACTAAAAATACAAAAAATTAGCCGGGTATGGTGGTGCATGTCTGTAGTTCCAGCTACTCAGGAAGCTGAAGCATGAGAATTGCTTGAACTCAGGAGGTGAAGGTTGCAGTGAGCCACGATCGTGCCACTGCACTCCGGCCTGGGCAACAGAATGAAACTCTGTCTCAAAAAAAAAAAAAGAAAAAGGTTTACTATTTATCTAAGGTCACTTCCAGTATATACATTCAATAAATATTTGTTAATTTAGTGTTGGGGAGGGAGGTGGCCAGGAGTGGAATGGAGCCATTTGTTTGTTGGCATGGAGTTCTGAGTAAGAGCCCCTCAAAGTCCTGGCCCTGGGAACCACCTCATTGTAATGGCCCTAACCATTCTCTACTATAGGTCTAGAAGTCACAGACTCTTGATCTGCAGAAATCTAGGTCTTTACGCATTTAAACCCACAAAATTTGAATTTGTACATTGAGACTCTTTGAGAAGCTGTCTGCTCTTGAGGTGAAGGGAGTGGAGACCACAGCTCTATATGGACCCCAGAAAATCCTGCACGTGAATCCTTAACAACTTAGCCAGGAGCAGCACATTCAGTCTCCTCTTCATGGGGGCACCCAGGCAACACGAGTCTTCAGCAAGAAACAGCCCTGCTGACACCTTAATTTTATCCTGTAAGGCCTATTTCAGACTTCTGACCTCCAGAATTGTAAGATAATAAATGAGTGGTTTTTGAACAACAGAAATCTATTTCTCACAGTTCTGGGGTCTGGAAAGTCCACGATCAAGGTGCTGGCAGAGTTGGTGTCTGATGAGGGCCTATTTCTTGATTCATAGATGGTGCCTGCTGGCTGCATCCTCTGAGGCCTTAGGCAGAGGCCTTAGGCAGGAGACACACCATAAACCAAATTCCTCTGACCAATTTCCTGAAGAAAACATTCAGAAAAAGGAGACATAAAGCAATATGCTGCTGGGAAAAGTCATCCTGAACACCAGGGTTTCCTAATTCCCTACTCTGTTCTCGGGCAGGGAATCAACTGAGATGATTAACAACTTACACCCAAACCCCACCATGTGCCAGAGAGAGCAGCACTGTGAGAATTGCCTGATTTAAACACAAGAATCGACTGAGTCACAAAAGAACCTCCATTATCCATCACCTAGATTCAACAATTATCAAAGGGGATCCAGATTTTCTTCCTGCTATGGTCTGAATGTTTGTGTTGCTCCAAAAATCACACATTGAAACCTAATCATCAGTTTGATGGTATTAGGAGGTGGGGCCTTTGGGAGGTGATAATCTCCTAATCTTACCTTCCAAAGGCCCCACCTCTTAATACCATTCTATTGGGTTGATATTAGCAGACTGGAAACTTTTAATGGAGGCCCCAGAGAGCTGCCTTCCCATTCCAACATGTGAGGACACAGCCAGAAGGCACCATTTATGAACTAAGAAGCAGGCCCTCATCAGACACCAAGTTGGCCAGCACCTTCATCTTGGACTTCTCAGCCCCCAGAACAGTGTGAAATGGATTTCTGTTGTTCAAAAGCCACCTAGTCTATGCTATTTGGTTATAGCAGCCCAAATAGACTTAAGATACTTCATTTATCCTTTTTTATCTTTGCTGAAAAGAAAAAAGCACTAAGCACTGTGTCATTTCAGTATGCATCTGAAAAATGAGAACTTTTCCTACAGAGCCCCAATGTCATTGTCACACCTACCAAAATTAGCAGGAATTCCTTAATATTATCTCGTATCTACACTCTAATTAAGTTTTCCATTTATCTCAAAAATATCCCTTTAGAGATGGTTTACTCTAATTAGGACCTGAATCAGGTCTACACATTGCATTTGGTGATTCTGTCTCTTAATTCTCTTATAACCTAGCAGTCCACCCTCTCCCATTCTTCACTCCAATTTTTCTCCAACCTATTGGTTTGCTACAGAAACTGGGCCAGTTTTGTGGTAGAATAAGTTAGCCAAAGATTAAAAAGAGGAGGACATGGTGGCACTATCATGGAGGGAGGATGGGTTTGTAGAGTGTCTTAGGATCAAAGCCTGACACTATGTGTCATTGTGTGTCACTGAGCCCCTCAATATATCCACTGGGGTTTGATCGAAAAGGAAGAGCCACTATGAGTGATATAGAATGAAGACATTTGGGGGAATTAGACCTTACACAATTGTGGGAGCTGATTCAACAGTCTGCCCAATGCAGCTGTTGCCATGTCCAGTGTTGGTCCTAAGTCAGTAGAGCCAGCAGTTGGAAAGGAGAGATGAGTGTGAAGAGGGGGAGAGTAAGACTAGATTAGAACCCATGAAGACAAACTGGGACCCTGGAGGACAAACTGGAACTCACATTTGTCTCACTCTCTTTCAGTGATGCAAGTGACCTGCAGGATTCACTGGTGCCCCACAGAGCTGCACAAGCTGGCCCAGGATTTGGAGAAGCAGAAGATTCGACAAGACCAATAAGGGCTGTGGACTCAGCTGCTGTTTCACGCTCACAAGGTGGCCAGGAGACCAGCAATTGTGTGCTTGAGCCCACATCAACCTTCAGAGCATAGAAATGGCTGCTATTTCACTTCCACTTCCAAATCTCATGAACTCCTCTTATGGCCAACCCTAGCCTAGAACAGTACAAGAAAGGGAATTCTGAAAATTCCTTAGTATTTCTGGTTAAAGTGATGTACATAGGCACCAAACTCACGTAAGGATAGCCTCTCCCATAGGAATGTGGCCAAGCTTACACAAGTGTACAGCAGGGTTGGAGGTCTCCCTGGCCCCTTCAGTTCTACTGCTCATGTCTTTCCCTGCCTTTAGGGCTAGCAGCAAATGATGCAAGTGTGTGCTGGTGTGGGTAAAAATCCAGGGCTCCAGGCGGAGGGCTGTCTTGCTATAGACACAAATCTCTTTGAGGATAGACTTGTATTCCCAGCAAAAACCTGGTCCCTGCGGGAAGGGAATGGAGCCAAGAATGCATATAGACATCTGAGCGTCTCCAAACGTGGCTGAGAGCAGGGGTTATTGGAATGTACTTCTTTTTTTTTTTTTTTTTTTTGAGACAGAGTCTTGCACTGTTACCCGGGCTGGAGTGCAATGGCACAATCTTGGCTCACTGCAACCTCCACTTCCTGTGTTCAAGCAATTCTCCTGCCTCAGCCTCCCAAGTAGCTGGGATTACAGGTGCCTACCATTATGTCCAGCTAACTTTTTGTATTTTTAGTGGAGACGGGGTTTCACTGTGTTGGCCAGGCTGGTCTCAAACTCCTGACCTCATAATCTGCCCACCTTGGCCTCCCAAAGTGCTGGGATTACAGGCATCAGCCACCATTCCCGGCCAGGGATGCACTTCTTACAGGCAGCAGAAATAGCCCCTCTCTACCCCAAACTCCGTTTAGAATTTGAGTTCACCACAGATTATGTATAAAAATCAACATTAACAATAATGATAACTAATATTTTGATAGTGATTAGTATTTGCCAGGCACTATTACAAATATTTTATATACACACCACTTTAACTCATGTAACAAATCCATCAGCACTAATGGACTAGGCCCTGCTTGGTTAAAAAAAGAAAAGGTGACAACCACAGACTAATACTATTTAGGTATAAGTTACCACAGATGATTTCAAGATTTGACATTACGTTTTTTAAAAACTTTCATCTTATCAAGAGCTATTTTCATGGAAATGGAGTTTCACTGAACAAGAATATTGTAATCTGCCAACAAGGTCGAAGTACCCTAAGCTTCTCCCGTCAAGAGACGGAGTCTATTTCTCACCCCTTGAGTCTGGGCTGGCCTGTGACTTGCTTTGGAATGCCATGCAAGTGACAGCTCACCAGTTTTGAGCATAGCCCTCAAGAGACTTTATAGCTTCAGTTCTCTCTTAAAATCTAGTTTTGCCACATGGGACAAGCCTAAAAGAAAAGACACTACATGGAGAGAGGCCCCAGATCATCCTGGCTGAGGCCCCAGACAAGTGAGTGTGTCCAGGGAACAACAGCCAAGCTTAGCCCAGACTGAAAGGACCTCCCAGCTAAGCCCAGAATCAGGAACTGAATAAATTATTGTTGTTCTTAGTCACATGATTTTGTTATGCAACCAAAACTGATATGGGGGAGACACTAAAAGCTAGATTTTACGTCTGCCTGATATCCTGGGCTCTTAGTGTTCTTTTCAAAATTCTTTCTGCAAATTCATGGAGTCACCTGTACCCTTCATGATGGGTACTGATTGATGGAGTTTAATTGTGTCCCTTTTATTCAAACAAACATTTCTCCCCTATCAAGTATATTTTTAAATTCTGACAAGAAAACATGGAAAATATAGAAAAGATTAAATAAGGAAACAAATAAAACTATAATTAAATAATCCACAGATAGGGACTGTTAATATTTATGGTTTTTTCTTTCACATATTTTTCCATTATATATTATAAATGTATACATATGCATATCATATTATTCTACATGGGTGTATATATTATACACACGTGTATTATATAATTAGTTTATGTAGTTCTGAATCCCACTTTTCTCTTCACAAGATTCTTATATATTCCCAGCCATTAAAATTCTTGGAAAACATCACTCTAATGGGTATAATTGCCCATCATAAAGATATATCATAATTTATTTAACTGCTTCCCAATTGTTGGACATTATTCTGTCTTCAATTTTTTATTATTATAAGTGGCAATGTCATGAACATCTGTGTACATCTTTGTTCAGATCCTTGAATCTGTCCTCAGGAAGATGGAATTGCTGGGTTAAAGAGCACCAGCATTTAAAGTTTTATCCATAAAAGGAACTACAATCCAAACATCTCGGGAAGAATATCTAAAGGAAGACAATGTTTATCTCTACTCCTGATGTTTAAGCCAGGAACAGGTCTGCTTTTGTTTTACTGGTACTAGGTCGGGAAAGAAATGCTCAGTGAAACAGAAGTCCAGGCATTCAGTTCTGGACGCCAGGGAACCCTAGCCCAGGGCCCCTCTCTACCGAATTGCTCAGACCCTCCGTGACCACTCTTGAGGTGTGTTCTCCTGGCTGGAGAGAGGAGATGCAGGCTGGAGAAGACATGGCGGAGTCCAGGGACCATTCTTGTCCTGGCTCCCGGAACACGCTCCTCTTAGGGGTTTCATTTCCCTCTAGGCTGGGAATGCTGCCAGGGGGCTGAGGAACTGATGTTCCCAAGGCTGGTACATTTGATTTTCACTCTTGGCTAGAATTCAGAGCAGAGAAAAGTAAACTGCATCTGGGCCAAGGTGAGCCTGTCTCCTTGGAGGTCCTTGGGCTAAATGGAGGAGAAGGGTATACAGAGCTGAGAGCCAAGGAAGCCGATGAGGAATTGCACTTGGGTGTGGAGAACAAAACTACGTGGCCATTGATTGACTCAGGAGCTCTGCTGGAGGTGCCCTTGGCTCCCTGCATCTTAATCCTGGCCTGAGAATGGTCAGTCTACTTGAGGGCCAGTAATACGATCTTAAACCTTCATGACTTACGCCTCAGTACCAAGGCCAGTCCCTTCATTTGAAAAGGAAGAAGGAAGAAAACTAGAATCCATTGGCGATTTGCTGTGTGCCAGGCACTTTACAATACAAAGAAGGCTTATTAATATTCTCATTCAAAAAAATAAACAAACCAACGCCACAGTAAATGATGGGATTTGCTTAAGGTTTTGGGACTAATTAATTCAAAAACTGAGACTTGGCTAGGCACAGTAGCTCATGCTTGTAATCCCAGCACTTTGGGAGGCTGAGGCAGGTGGATCACCTGAGGTCAGGAGTTTGAGACAAGCCTAGCTAACATTGTAAAACCCCGTCTCTACTAAAAATACCAAAAATTAGCCAGGCGTGGTGGCAGGCACTTGTAATCCCAGCTACCCGGGAGGCTGAGGCAGGAGAATTGCTTGAACCTGCGAGGTGGAGGTTGCAGTGAGCTGAGATTGTACCATTGCACTCCAGCCTGAGCGACAGAGCAAAATTCCAGCTCAAAAAAAAAAAAAAAAAAAAGAAAGAAAGAAAAAGAAAAGAAAAAATGGAGACTCGAATTGGGTGCTTTTTAATCCCTGGATGCAGAGGCAGGTATGGTATGGCAAGGAAAAGATCACTGACCTTAGATTTTCTACAAGCCCTGACCTTAGATTTTCTTATTACTTCTTTGAACTTGGGAATGGTACTCATTGCCTCTGAGCTTCAGCTTCCTATTCTGTAAAATGAGCAGTTGCCTACCTTGCAGGGTTCTAGTTAGGAGTGGCAGGGGGAATGCTTGCAAAAGACCTAGTGCCGCACTTGACCCACAAGAGGACTCTTGAACACCAGCTGTAACATCCACCCCTTTTGCTTCTGTTGCCTCTTCTGGGAGCCCTGACGGGAAAACCCAGTGAGGTTGAGGATACAGGGGTTTGTGGGAGACCTCCGTCTCTGGAACGAATCCCCCACTCCTCCATCATGCCCACCACACTGGCTGCTTGATTTCTCTGCCACACTCTAGCTTTTCTCTCTGAAAAACAACTTGCCAGTAACACAGCAAGAAGGCTCAGGGCTCTGAACTATTGTGTGCATCCCAGGTGGACTCAGTCCCCAGATGGAAGAAGGACAAGTCTCCATCTCAGAGACAGGGAGTGGGAAGGTAACTGGAATTTTACCTGTGCAAAGTGCCCTACATCCAGGTGATATTTCATCCTGCTCTGTTCCTTCGTAAAGGTCTCCAGCGAGCAGAAGGGTTCCATGAGCCTTACTCCTCTGGTCCCAGGCCTTGCCAGGCACATGTTGCTTTTCCCTGGGAGTAGGGCTGGGCACTCCTGCCTCCCCATGCCCATCAGCCATGGGGTTCCCTTTAAAGGCTCTGGATTGAGCACAGTCACCTCTAATGGGACCATGGAGGACCAGCCCAGCAACCTAGAGCTGCTTCCCAGGCTGCCTGGGAATCATTTCATTTTCTATTTGCAGAATCACAGATGTTGACTTTTGATCTCTTCCTCTCTCCCTTGGGGGCCTCAAATCAGTGATGACAGCTATTTCATTTCTTTTTAATTTTTTTTCTTTTCCCTATAAAGAGAAAAGGTCAGAAAGGGCTCAGAAAGGTTTTGAAAATATTGGAAGAGCTACATACTGGCTACTGGAATGCAAAAGAAAAGCTCTAGCCCTCTCTATGGAAAGCTCATGGCAATGACCAGGCAGAGGCTGGGGTGGGCACTCTTTAAGGCAGTAATGTTAACCTTTAGTGTGTCTGTAAATCATTCAGGAGTCTTGTTATTAATACAATGCAAATTCAGATTCAATAGGTCTAATGCACTCCCAGGCAAGGTCCATGCTGCCAGCCCAGAACCATGCTTAGAGGAACAGGTGCTGAGTTTCTTCCTCACCTCCACCTTGCCCCAGTCCTGAATCCTGCAATCTGTAAATGCTCCCTGCTATCTTCATGCAGTTGAGTCTTAACAGGCAAGAAGCCAGCCAAGCGAGAATCTCTCAGCAGACACTTTAATCAAATTAAAACCCACATTTAGATTTTTATCACTTTTGATCATTTAAACAGAAGAACTTTCAGATATATATAGATTTCCAAAGAAGGGATCACAAGAGGACACTCAGGTGAGGGGTGGGGAGTTGGTGGCAGTGTTGGGGGGGCTTTCTTCTCTCACCCCATTCTATCCCCTTTGACTTATTCATTTCTTTTAAATAGCATTTGGCTCAACTATTATGATCTTATGCTGAACCTTTTGCCATCCCATGAATGGGCAAGCCTCTGTATACCCAGTGAAAATTACCTTTTTCTTTCCATAGGTCCCAGTTGCTTTTTTTTTTTTTTTTTTGAGTCAGAGTTTCATTCTGTCACCCAGGCTATAGTGTAGTAATGTTATCTTGGCTCACTGCAACCTCCTGGATTCAAGTGATTCTCCTGCCTCAACCTCCTAAGGAGCTGGGACTACAGGCGTGTGCCACCATGTCAGGCTAATTTTTGTATTTTTTAGTAGAGATGGGGTTTTGCCACATTGGCCAGGTTCGTCTCGAACTCCTGACCTCAAGTGATCCACCCTCCTCAGCCTCCCAAAATGCTGGGATTACAGATGTAAGCCACCACACCCGGCCTCCCACCTCCCAGTTACTTTTATAAAAATTTTTCTATGTGTTTTGCTCATGTGAACACAACTTAAAATGCATTCTATGATAACTCAAACATAATAAGATGGATAAATATTGTGTATTAGAAAGCAATGTCCATTTTCTAAAATGATTCACTGCATCATGCCATAAGCGATGAGCCCTTTCTGGGTCTTTAACCATCAAAAAGTGACTCTCAGGGATTCAGACCTAATTGGCCTGAGGAGGGACTCAGGCACTAATATTTTTTAAAAGCTCTGAAAATGATTCTAATGTACACTCAGGTTTCAATACCACTAGACTAAATGATGTCAAATTGCTAACTTGAAACCATTCCGATGCCTCGCTATACATTTAAATTCCACACGCATTTTTGAGTGCTTGTCATATACCAGGCACTATGTGGGCTCCTGAGATATGAGCAGATCAGCCGCAGCTTCTGCCTTCAGGGTATGCACAGTCTAGCAGGGGAGATTTTAAAAAGCAGAATTAATTCTATCTAGAGGCCCCACAAATAGTGAAACAGGGAAATGTTGCCTCTATAAATACAAATAAAAGGAGAGGAGGGAGTGGGGGAACCTGCCCATATCTCCCCCATCATTGCTCTTCCTCTCACTTCCTCCAGAGGGTACAGAACGTGGATTAAACAGGAACACAATGAGTGCAGGGCAGAACCTCAGCTCTCAGATTTGAGCTCTGGAGAGAATGGGCAGGGCCGTGAGCAGCTGAGAGATGGAGCCTTCCAGGCTGGGCGATTTCTTAATGTAGGAATGCAAAACCTGGCCCTCAAGTGGCAAAGGCTAAATTGTGAAATGATTTTCAGCAGCTCCTCCACCAAAAGTGTCAGGTAGCTAAAGTCAGCCTCCTCCTCCCTGTCTGCATGCACTCCAGCTGCCTGCTTTTTGTGCTCTTCCTGCCAGATGCCCTCAGCTGGTCCCTTCACTTATATATTTATTTATTTATTTATTTATTTATTTATTTATTTATTTATTTACTTATTTGAAACAAGGTTTTGCTCTGTCACCCAGGCTGCAGTGCAGTGGTGTGATCTTGGCTCACTGCAACCTCTGGCTCCCGGGTTGAAGCAATTCTCCTGCCTCAGCCTCCCAAGAGGCTGGGATTACAGGCACCTGCTATCACACCCGGCTAATTTTTGTATTTTTAGTAGAGATGGGGTTTCGCCACGTGGGCCAGGCCGGTCTTGAACTCCTGACCTCAAGCAACCTGCCCGCCTCGGCCTCCCAAAGTGCTGGGATTACAGGTGTGAGCCACTACGCTGGTCCCTTCACTAAATCTTTATGCCAGCCTGGCTTACTTGCCCCCCAATTACCTTGCAGGTGTCAATCAGCTGGGCGGGACTTCATACTGAGCATGAGTGGCCAAGAGGGTGTGCAAGAACACCTGCATGGTAAGGTAGGAGACTGTTTCTCCCAGAGAAACTCCAGTGTTGGGGAATTCATGAATGAGATATTTTAATAAATGCAAAATCATGCAGTCCCCAGTCCAAATGAATCCACGGATGAGTAAAGCCAGTGAATTTTGGCAGAAAATAGCATATGACCCAAACCTGCCCCTTCACCTCAATTCTGGGGCTCAGCAGGTGTTGTCAAGTGGAGTTCTCTCCTACTAGGGAGAGGGAGCTTGCTCCCAGGCACAGCTGACCAATGAGGGAATGGGCTGCTTTTTGAGATAATGAATTTCCCACCAGAGGCCTTTTGTAAGGTTTTGGGGCAGGAGTATTTAAGCAATGGAAAGGGTGTTGGCTACTTTTAATGTGCCTTATAAGGAACCTCTTAAAACCACTTTGTGACTGCCTTTAAGTACCTTTCAATTCTACAGTTCTTTGAAATATGTGAACTGAATTCAGGTCTCCTATAAGCAGAGGAATAATGACAGTGGCAACGCTGCAAAGCCATGAATATCAATGAATATTAACTGGGAATTTCCTCAGTCGCAGCTCTGTGACACTCTCAAATACACCCTATCCCTCAAAAATGTGTAGAATTATATTATACGTACTTTACAAATAAGGAAATATGCATAAAGAAGCTGAAAGATTTGCCCAATATCCCACAAAAGACACGTGCTTCAAGTCCAGGTTTCTTGATTTGTAGTCTGATGTTTATAGTATAATATCATAATTTTTATTTTGTTCAGATACAGTAAGAGCTGAAAAAAATCCTTAGAATATGTATCTTCAGGAAAGAAAATGATCTCAAAGAAGAAACAGATTTGGTGGAATTTGATGGCTGGATTAGCTGTCAGGGTAATGCTCATGAGTGGCCAGCAGGGAGCAGAAGCCTGCCATTCTAGCCGCTTACATCCTTTCCAAGCCCGTAGAGGTCTGGAAGTTAGTGCAGGAAAACCATTGAGAGCAAAGCCTAAGAAAGCAGAAGGGAGCCAGTGAGGACTGCTGCAAAGGCTCCTTTCAGGCAGGATGTATCAACAGCAGGGTGCATCTGAAGAAGAGGCTTCCCCCAGGAGGATGCCTCCAGGACCCAGAGGCAGCAAGAAAACTCTGGAACATGCACAAGATTGGAATATCAGCAATCCAAGACTCCAGGAGTCAATCTGCTATTTTCCAGCCCATGACCCTTTCTCTGCATCTGTTTCCCTTCTCAATTTACAGTACATTGCCATTGTCAAGCTGTGCAAAGGCCTTCTCTTGTTTTATTTCATTTTCCTATCATTTCCAGTTTGTGTTCCCATTCCCCCACATATTGTTCTCTTTTTCCCGTTGGTTTGCAAGAGCTCTCTGTATAATCTAGGTGTACATCTCTTGTTGTTTGCAAATATATTCTCCCCAACTGTCACTCAGCTATCTGTAAATTTCACTAAAGAGAAATATGGCTTGTGTTTTCCCACCCTGAGTTCACAAAGATATTCCACATTTCCATCTGGAGTTTAGAATATGATATAAAGTTGACTATGATATAATAAAGTTGAGATACAGCTTTATTTTTCTCCATAGAGTGAGCTAGTTAGAGCCCACCACCAGTCCCCAAGTTCATGTTTTTCTTACTGTTTTGGGGTGCTACCTCTATCATAAGTCAAGTTTTCATATTGAAAAATGGGTTTTATATTTTTGAGCTCTTTAGTTTGTTCTGTATGATTTGCTTGTTTCTGTACCAATACCACATCCTTTACTACCATGGCTTTGTGGTAAGGTCACCTGTCTCTCTCCTCTCCTCTCCTCTCCTCTCCTCTCCTCTCCTCTCCTCTCTTCTCCTCTCTTCTCCTCTCCTCTCCGCTCTGCCCCGCCCTGTCCCTCTTCTCTCCTCTCCTCTCCTCTCTTCTCCTCTCCTCTCTTCTTCTTCCTCTCTCTCTCTTTCTATTAAAAATGGCTTAGTTATTTCTGGATCTTATTTATTTTTGAGACGAAGTCTCACTCTGTCAGGCTAGAGTGCGGTGGCACAGTCACAGCTCACTGCAGCCTCGATCTCCCACGCTCAAGCAATCCTCCTACTTCAGCCTCCTGAGTAGCTGGGACTACAAGCATGTGCCACTATGCCTGGCTAATTTTTAAAATTTTTTTGTAGAGACAGGGTCTCAGTATGTTTCCCAGGCTGGTCTCAAACTCCTGGGCTCAAACAATCCTGCCTTGGCCTCCAAAGTACTGGGATTACAGGTGTGAGCCACTGTACCTGGCCTACTCTGATTCTTAGCATAACCCTGAAATATCCATCTACCTTTATGGTCCTTCTTTATTTTTCTAGTTTTATTGCTTTGGCCAAACCTCTAGGACTATCCCGGAGGGGTGCTTTCAGGCCTGCCACTGTGGCAATGCACAAACTTGGACATTTTCAGAAGTTCACTGAGCTTCAGATTCGCAAACTCTCCTTCCAGAGTCTGGTGCGAGAAACTGCTCAGAACTTCAAAACAGATCGTGCTTCCAGAACACAGCTATTGGTGTTTTGCGGGAAGTGAGGCCTATCTGCTTGGCCTTTTTGAAGACACCAACCTGTGTGCTAGTGGTGCCAAACATGTAACAATTATGCCAAAATATATCCAGCCCGCACTCCAGATATATGGAGGGCATGCTTAAGAATCTGTTATGATGGGGAACATTTCATTCTCAAAAAAAAAAAAAATCTTCTTTCTGTTATTGGTAGTTCTGACCATTAGATTTTCCCCCCCAAGGGATCAAAAGGTACCTAAATATATGATTGCATGTGGAAAAATAGGACAGAAACATCAGGTATTGGCAATTGTCTTAGTCCATGTTGGGCTGCTATAAAGGAATGCCTGGGGCCGGGTAATTTATAAAGAAAAAAGGTTTAATTGGCTCACTATTCTGATGGCTGGAAAGTTCAAGACGGGGCATCTGGTGAGGGCGTCCTGCGGCTTCCGTGTATGGTGGAAGGCAAGGGGAGCCAGCATGTGCAGAGATGACAAGGTGAGAGGAAACAAGAGTTTGTGGGGACCTGGATCTAACAACCAGCTCCGCAGAAACTAATAAGGTGAGAAGTCACTCATCCCCACCGCACCCCCATGCCCAGGGAGGGGATTAATCTATACATGAGGCATCTGCCCCCAGGATCCAAACACCTCCCACTAAGCGCCACCTCCTAACATGGCCACACTGGAAATTAAATTTAAACATGGCCAGGCGTGGTGGCTCACGCCTGTAATCCCAGCACTTTGGGAGGCCGAGGTGGGCGGATCACGAGGTCAGGAGATCGAGACCATCCTGGCTAACATGGTGAAACTCCGTCTCTACTAAAAATACAAAAAATTAGCCGGGCGTGGTGGCAGGCACCTATAGTCCCAGCTGCTTGGGAGGCTGAGGCAGGAAAATGGCGTGAACCGGGGAGGCAGAGGTTGCAGTGAGCCAAGATCGTGCCACTGCACTCCAGCCTGGGCGACAGAGCGAGACTCCGTGTCAAAAAAAAAAAAAAATTCAGCATATCATCAGGTGGGGACAAACAAGCCATATCCAAACCACAGCAGCAGCTTTTCCATTTTCATGTGAATTTTTAATATAAATGTGGGCACATAAAGCATTCAAGAAAGAATGTTTCAGTGAATACGTTTTAGCAGTTCACCTTTATAACAATTATAAATAAACCTGTTAAATTTTTCTGGACAATGTCAGCACTTGAATATTTTTTATAACAAATAAATGTCTTATTGACTAAATGGTATTTGCAGCATTTTTACCATACAGTAGATTCCACGCACTCACTATACTTTTCTGAGCCCTACATGCAAGTACTTTTTTTTTTTTTTTTTTTTGAGACAGAGTTTTGCTGTTGTTGCCCAGGCTGGAGTGCAATGGCGTGATCTGCAACTTCTAACTCCCGGGTTCAAGTGATTCTCCTGCCTCAGCCTCACGAGTAGCTGGGATTACAGGCGTGAGCCTCGCACTCAGCCACAGATACATATTTTTAATGTTGTCTGTCTTCTGTGCAATTCCTGTATGTTTGTTATTAAAATACATTAGGCTATAAATAAATAAATACACTATTGGATACCATCAACATATTTTATTCTGAATTTTCAAATATGAAATAGCCTTATAGTTTTGTGTGTGTGTGTTTCTGCCATCCTCCTCTGACTTTGTAATAAAGATTAGAGCAGTCTTATAGCAAAGGAGGAACTCATTTCTATTTGCTGGGGTAATTTATGTATGTCAAGAGATTATCTATCTTTTTTTTTTTTTTTTTTTTTTTTTTTTTTCTGAGAAGAGTCTCACTCTGTCACCCAGGCTGGAGTGCAACGACATAATCTCAGCTCGTTGCAACCTCCGCCTGCGGGGTTCAAGTGATTCTCCTGCCTCAGCCTCCTGAGTAGCTGGGATTACAGGCATGGGCCACTACACCCGGCTAATTTTTGTATTTTTAGTAGAGACAGGGTTTCACTATGTTGGCCAGGCTGGTCTTGAACTCCTGATCTTGTGATCCACCCACCTTGGCCTTCCAAAGTGCTGGGATTACAGGTGTGAGCTACCACACCCAGCCCTATCTCATCCTTAAAAGTGGGTAGAGCTTATCTGTAAAACCATCTGAGCCTAGGGCTTTTCAGAAAGGTTTTTGATTATATTGTAATTCTTAATTGAATACTTGACAAAACAGTTTGTTATTTATTCTGTTCCAGTCTTGGAATTTTGTATTTTTTCAGAATTGTATCAATTTTAGTAGGCCTCCAAATTATAATTCTTCATAATAGTATTAGTCTCAAACTTTTCATAGCCTGTGGCTTTCAGCATTTAATGCATGGTTTTATCTTCTCTTTTTTTTCTCCACCAGGCTCATCAGACATTTATATATTTTGTTAACCTTTTCAAAAAACCAGCTTGGTCAACGTCTTGTTGTTGATAAACACTATTTCTCACATTTCTGAACTTATGTATATATTTTCCTTTTTTCCAGATTTCTCTATTGAAAAATTAGCTTCAAGAATGTTTCAAAAGTGATTTAGGAATAAGCCATCTGAAGCCTTATATACCTGATACTATTTTTATTTTACTTTTATTTAAATGATAGTTTGTTGAAGTTCTTTCCCATCAACACTTTAAAATATTACTTTGTTGTCTTTTTCTTCTTCTTCTTTTTTTTTTTTCAGTAGAGATGAGGTCACGCTATGTTCCCTAGGCTGGTCTCAAAGTCCTAGGCTCAAGCAGTCCTCCCACCTTGGCCTCCCAAAGTGCTGGAATTACAGGTATGAGCCATCATGCCCTGCCAACGTCATTGTCTTCTTGTATCCGGTTTTGTTATCGAGGTTTTTTTGTCATTCTAATTCTTTTTCTCTTTTCGTTGATCTAGTTTTTCTTTATACATGTTTTGAGAATGTTCTCTTTGTCATTAATGTTCTTAAATTTCACTACCATGTATCTAGGTGAGAGTTCCTTTTTGTATTTGTCTTGTTTAACACTTGGCTTATTTTTCAATCTAAGTTTTGTATTTTCTTTATTTCTAAAAAATTCTCAGTCATCTTACCTCCAAATATAGCCTCCCTTCACTATTTGCTTCCCCCTTCTGGTTCCAAATTCAGCCCTCCTAACCAGTACACTATCCACCTGCTCTGAGAAGGTCAGCTTCGTTGCCCTTATCTGTTTGGGTATGGCTTCCTTCTACCACACCGTGAAAGGCAGGGGTAGAGTGCTGTTTTGTCTTTGTACTCCTGGGGCATCAGTACCCACCGTGTGCTAAACGAATGAATGAACTAAGAGAATGGAGAGGTGGAGGTGGCCACAGGGCTGGAGTCAGAGGTGCTGTGGAGCCAGGGCGGGAGCCCAGCTTCATGACTGTGCTGCGTCACACTCAGGCGCATGACCTCTACTGGGGCTGCAGCCCCTTAAGCAGACCCCTCCCTGTGGGAGTCTTACTGCTCGTACGTTATATATATATTTCCTTTCAATAGGGGCATCCAAAGTCTTAACCCAAAGCGGGCACCGTTCCCTGGCAGCCTGGTGGCAGGGAGGCGGGAGAGATATGTTCCAAGCCCCTCAAATGGCCCACTTAGGCAGTCATGTAGAATCTCGAGAAATACTCCCTAGCTTCCCAGGAACTGACTTTTTCCTGGATAAGTCTCTCTCTCCTGGATGTAGGCTATCAGCTCTCCAGAAACACCCCCTCACTTTCAGTCTCTCTTAATGGTTACTCTCAGCAACCTTTGAACCATTATCGATTCATGCTATTTTCTACCATCTCTTCGATTTCATTTTTCAAGAGGTCTGATGTTCTTTCACTATTCCTGCCTTTCTGATCTTCTCTCATAAAAATCTGCCTTTTCTATAGAAGCTTTATTGGAAGAGGTTTTACACATGAGTTAGGAAATTGGATTAGATTATCTTGGCCACCATCCAACCCTGAATTCATTGATTCTGTGAAATTTACAACACAGTTGAGCTAAACTAGCACCATTGGGGATCACTAATGATTAAATCATCCACCATACCATGGTGCCCTTCTGCTTAATGAGAAGATACAACGCTAACCAGCAAGTTCTATTTGTGGCGTTGAGATTAGTGAGCTACTCTGACATTATCTAAGTTGAACATTCAAACTAACCATATTTCCAGTGTGCCTTAGGTATCTCAGTAATGACAATCATAGTTAACACATATGAGACACCTACAATGTGCCAGGCATTGTCCCAAGTACTTTACGAACTTTTTTTTTTTTTTTTTTTTGAGACACAGTCTCACACTGTCGCCTGGGCTGGAGTACAGTGGCACGATCTCGGCTCACTGCAACCTGTATCTCCCGGGTTCAAGCGATTCTCTTGCCTCAGCCTCCCAAGTAGCTGGGATTACAGGCACTCCCCACCATGCCTGACTAATTTTTTGAATTTTTAGTAGAGATGGGGTTTTACCATGTTGGCCAGGCTGGTCTCGAGCTCCAGGCCTTGTGATTCACCTGCCTCGGCCTCCCAAAGTGCTGGGATTACAGGTGTGAGCCACCGTGCCCGGCCAGTACTTTACATACTTTAGCTCATTTATTTTCCACAGTTACACAGTGAGAGAATTAACATTTTCATCCCTGCATTACAGAAGGGAAAACTGAGGCATGCTGAGGTTATATAATTTACCCAAGATCAGAGTTGGTAAACGATAGAGCTGGAATTCAAACCGAGCAGGCTGGGCTGTTAACCACTGCACATACTACATCCTGAAGCTCAGAGAGATTATTGTGCACCCCCCATGTGGAATTACGCCTTCCTATCTCCTCACAGGAGGCTGCCAGAACTCCCTTCCCCTCCTATCATTATGACATGCGTCTGGGCTTCACCTTTTGCACATCTGAAAAGAGTTAAAAGAATTAGGAGACTTTTGAAAGAGATGGATGGTATAGTAAGGAAAGATACTGAAGCCAAAACAGGAAATAGAAAGTCAGTCATGTTTGGGTCAAAGTAAGAAGAGTTAGAGAGGGAAGAAGAGGACGAAATTCAGGATCTTATGGAGGGCTTGGAAAGCATGAGAACACGCCAGATAAAAGGAAACAAATAAAAAGGAAGATGTAAAATAATAAAGATGTCAATTGTTCCCAAATCAATTATACAATTTCAGCTGAAGTCTAACACAGCTTTTTTTTTTTTTTTTTTTTGGTTGGGTTTGGATTGTGTTTGGTTTTGTTCTGCTTTGTTTTGAACTAGACAATCTGATCTCAAAATTCCCTTGGAAGCACAAAGGGCCAAGAATAACTGAGAAACAATTTTGAAAAAGTACAAGGTGGAAGAACTTGCCCTACCAGATATCAAGATTTATTATCAAAATATTTAGAAAAGAAGACAATATAGTCTGCGCACAAGGATAAGTAAGGGAGCAGAATAAAGGGCCCAGTCACTGGCCTGCCCATGTTTGGAAAGAAGATGGGGCAGAGATGATGTTACACGCCAGTGGGGAAAGGGTATTCTATCTGATAAATGAGTGCTAGGAGCAACCTTTATCCATATGGAAAATAGTAGATTTCTACATCAGATCATTCCTGGGTGATCTTAAAAAAAAAAAAAAGCACAACTTTAAAACTTAAAAACTTAAAAAAAAAAGCACAACTTTAAAACAGAAGATGAAGACATAGAAAAATTCTTTGTAATTCTTTGTGACTTTAAGATGAAGAGTTCATTTAAAAACACTGAAAATAGAAACTTGGGGTAAGTTTAATTTTAAAAGTGGTAATGTGGACTAGTACATTAAAACTCACTTTTGTACAACAAAGGCCATGAGAACAAAGTGAAAACCAAGCCATAGACTGGAAGATAATATTTGCAATGAATACAATATGCAAAGCGATATCTCTAATTAATAAGAAAAAGACAACATATGGGGGAAAATGGACAAAACTATCAATTCACAGAAAAACTCCAGGTCAATAAAAATATAAAAAGATGCTTACTTTCACTATTAAAGAAGTACAAATCCAAACAACAATGAGATACCATTCACACCCACCAGATAGCAAAAGTGTATGTCAATGCCAAGTGTTGGGAAAGATGTTAAATCATGGAGTCTCATTCACTGCTAGTGGAACTGTAAGTTGATCCAAGTACTCCAGAGAGCAATTTGGCAACAACTAATGAAGATGATCATGTCCAGAAATTCCACTCCTAGGCATATAGTCAAGAAGACATGTATTAAGATATTCACTGCAGTACTGGAAACAGCTTAAATGTCCATCCACAAGAGAATAATTAAATTGTATTAGAGTTATACAATGGAATACAACACAGTATGTGTCAGCATAGATAAAAATCTCACAATTGTAATGCTAAGGGAGAAATGAATATTGCAGAAGATAGTGATACTACAGATATGATTATACACTATATAAAATTTAAAAGCTGGCATAATAATCCTTTGCAATGTCTGTGATACATAAAAAATGTAGTAAAAATAGTAAAAGTATAAAAACACATGTGAAGATGATTAACACTGATCTCAAAACAGTGCTTAGCTCTGGGAAATGAGGGAAGAAAATGGGATGAGGGAGGTGTACAGAGAGGAACTCAATTGTATCGCTGATATTTACTTTCTTTGAAGTAAAAAGACATGAAGCAAATAAGGCAATGTGTTAATATTTGCTAAAGCTGATGTGGCCATCATTAGCGCTACCCACCAAATATTTCTGGCTCTCTGCCTGCCAGGCCCATAGTAGGATTCTATGTCCTCACCCATTTTGAATCAGGAGCAGCCTAGAGATTTGCCTTGGCCAATGAAATGTGACTGGAATTGACTTGTGTTTCTGGCCTCTTGAGCCAATGCACAAAAACTTTGGCCAACATGGCAGCCCAGAGACAAAGCTTCTGTCCTCCCCAGTCCCTGAGCAAGCATGACACCCCCAGGCAACCCTAGGAGGATGGGAGGATGGGAGGGAGATGAGTGCTGTCAGCCGCTGAGGTTTGGGGGTTGTTTGTTACTACAAGTCTACCCTGGAGAATAGAGCTGGAAAATGGGTCCACTCCTATTCACTGTATCAGTCTCTGATTTTATCTACATGTTGAAATATTATCAAAAACATTGTAATACTTTTAAATTGGACTGGCTTTCTATCTCTTCGTTCACGAAAATTCTCTGTACTGGCCTGCGCAAGGCCCCTCTCTTAATTTATTAACTTTTGTGTTTTCAGAAAGTGCCTCTGACTTGGGATGGAAGCAATGTGGAGCTGTAGGAGCCTCCTGGTAAAAAGGATGAATGGCAGAAATCATTGATTAAGCCCAGATTTCTGGGTGAGCCCAGATTTCCTCCAGTGCTGTCTGCTAGCATTTCCCATCAATCTGGGGACAGAAACCCAATGAGAAAATCTTAGCTTTTCTCCAGAGAAATGTAAGCAAGAATTTTGATGAATGCAACTGCCGTTGATTCTTTGTATGGCTTTTAGAAAGATCACTTCACCCTTTTTCCCACTTCTCTGCAGTTCACCTCTGGGAGAAATGTCAAGAAAACTTTCCCACACCTCATGGCTTCCAGGTTCCTTTTTAGGGCTGCCTGCAAGGCCCACAGGGAATAAAAGGCCCAGCAGGAGGTGGAGGAGGGGCAGCATGGTGAGAGAAGGAAGAGAAACTCCGTTCTTGGCCAGTTGTGCTCCGTACTGTGCAGACACACAGGCAGCGCCTGGAAGTCACCGAGAAATGCAATGCCTTTGAGAAGTTCCGTGGAAAGAATGACATCATGACCAGTCACTCCCCCACCCCACCTTTTTTCCAGTGGGAGTGAGAAATAAATAGACTGACACATTTTCCAGTCAGGGAGCCATTCTGGACAGCAAGTTTACCTTGGCACAGGAGCTCAGGTGGGGCTGTGAGAAACCTTATCTGTGCTTGCCTGGTAAACAAGGAGCCTGCAATCTCCCCGGAGTCTTGGCCACTGAGCAGGTGACTGCGGGAGGCAGGTGAGCAGAGCAGGTGAGCAAGGTGAGCCTCGGGCCCAGGAGCACGCTGTGTTAGGTAAATATTGCCTTAACTTGATTGATGGACTCACTAACTGTCTGTTTGTTGCCAAGAGAAATGCCATCACCGCCAAATTCAAAGGTAAAATTCCTGTCCCTTAAATCAAGGGTTCTCAAACTGTAGTGCGTTACTAGGTCACCTGGGGAATGCCATTAAAATGCAGGTTCTGATTCAGCAGGTTGGGATGGCTGAGAAAATTGCCTTTCTAACAAGCGGCTGGTGATGCCGAGGGTGCTGGTCTGTGGACCACTCTCTGAATTTGCAAAGTCTTAATGCTCAGATGACTGTATGCATTTTACACGGTCAAAATAGTTACTGATTAAGGAGCACTGATGCAGGCTGCAGGTGTCGTACCAGATGTTTGCTATCATCTCTTGTAACTCTTCACACCAACTCTGCAAGGTGGGTGTTATTATCCCCGCCCCCTCCTTGGCTGGCAAGGAAATTGAAGCTAAGAGAGGTTAATTCATGCATTATATGTGTAATTTCCAAAAGATTTCATTGCTACCTTCCCTCCTTTCACAGTGATCTGAAATAACCCAAAGACAAAAGATAATAAACGCCTGTGGTAGAGACGGGTGTTGTCTGCTTGTGGTGATCGGCCCTCTTGGCACCTGGAAATGAGTAATTTCGTCCGTACATTGTCAGGGCCAAGCTCAGGAATTCAGAAATCCTGGTTATCTAGGTTTGGCCTAGGAGGTCCTCTCTTCAAAAGAGAGAGTAGCTCCAAAAGGTGGACAAGACTGGTTTTTCAGATCCCTCTGGTGCTGATGTGTTCGCCCCTAGGACACGCAGTTGGAGAAAGTTCTTGATACCAGGAGGAGTTGCTTTGATGTGTCAGCTTGGAAAGAATGCCTCGTAAGGGCCATTCAGGACTCCAGGAGAGCAACAAAAACAAAAAAGCCCCAGCTCGTGGAAACATCAAAGTGAAGGCAAATATAACCAGACTGACCCACCTGGAGGTATTTAAATACCTTGAAGAATGGTGGTGTGTCCTTGCAAAACCCAGGCAGCTTTCAGGTAGAAACTTGAGTCATGTCTGGATCATAAGGAGTGAGGTGGCCCCACTGGCTGTCCCTGGCCACTCATTATAATCAGGAAAAAGTGAGGACAATGTGAGACTCTCCCTTGGAGAGTCTGAAAACTTGGAAGACCTGAATTTTGGTGACCACTCAACAAGTCAGTCTGCTCCAGGGACCCATTAACATTGCAACCTCATTCCTAGTGGTGCCAAGATGCAGCCATGATTTGTACTGCAGTGTGGGGAGGCCAGATTTGGGCCCTCCTGGAAGTCCACAGCAATTCCGTCCCTGGAAAGTTGTTGCACAGAGGAAAATACAGCGCCACGTCCCAAGACAAACTGAAGGCCTCCAAAGAAGACATAAGTAATTTTGTTCTTTATATTTTACATCTTTACAGAAAGTATCCGAGTTTACAAAAACCACATAAAATAGAACAAAGTTTAAAAAATAGAATATAGAGGGAAAGGAAAAATAATAGATAACAGAGGACAAAGCCCAGTGTGGCTGCTACCTTATTGCTGTAAGGTCCTGTACACTTTCAAATCAAACTCTGACTTCCCAACCCACAAAGCAAAAGTTAAAGAAATGCACGTACAGCACTGCACCCATGATAAGAAAAACCAGGCAGCTGCTGCAGAGAAGCACATCTATTCCTGATGCTGAGGCTCCCCATGGGGCCTCATGAGAAAGAATTGGAAGACACAGTGGAAGGCCACCAAGAGCATCCCCAACAACAGCCCTACCATACACCATAGGGAGTTTTCTGGGATGGAGTTTCCTGGGATGGTTCCTATGACATCCCAGTGCAGGCTACTGGCCATGCCAATGCCTGGTCCAGTGAGAACAATTATGGGAGACTCCAGAATGACCTCTGCTGAGCTGGCTTACACCTAGGACAAAAATCAGAGCAAAGAAACTGCTTTGGGAATCCGAGGGGCCCTGCCTCTCTGGGAATCTGAATTCGGGCTTCTCCCCAGGTCTTGTGCCAGCTTTGCTCTTTGCTTTGGGAGGGGAGTCCCTAGGGTTTCCAGCAAAGCTGCCGTCATTGAAGACAGAGGCACAGCACATAGCCCATGCACAGGCCAGGCCCATGGTCTTCCCACTGAGACCTCTAGCCACAGAATAGTCTCCAGTCGAGCAGAGGCTGAGGAGAAAGAGGGACTAAGTGCTGGTCCTGGGTTCACCAGTCACTGACAGTGGGAACCTCAGAAAGCCAACTCCTCTCTGTGGGCCTTAGTTCTGTCGCCTGCGAAGTGGAGCAGACGAGCTAGCATCGGATCTGTCCTTTTCCTGAGGATTCTCATGGCTGCAGAGCTCTTCAGTGCATGGCAAGCTGAAGAGAGGCAATGAAGCAGGGCTGGAAGCGTTGGGGTCTGTGGAAGACATGAAATGTACCACCCAGATCCGCCTTCTACGGAGGGCCTTCTGCCCAGCTGCGGGTATGGAACCAGCAGCCTGCCTCCAGCTGTTTGTTCCTTCAAAGTCTGCCACAGCTGCAGAAAGCTGCCTCCCCCAAGATCATGCCCTCCCAAGATAGCCCATGCTGTGGATTGGGTGCAGCAGGGGAATAAAGGCCCAGGCACTTTGTCCCTGTGCAGATCACTCTGAACAGGTAATATTAGCTCCAAAGCTCCTCACAGAATTGGCCAACATTTGTTGAGCCTGCATTTCAGTTAGACTTCTTTTTCTACCCAAGCCCGCTTCTTCCTTCTTCTTTGCACAGGTGTTGCTCCCAAAACCTGTCTTGGCATCTGCTTCTGAAGAACCTAATCTGCAGCAGAGGCCAAGCACCCAAGCACAAAGACTTGCCTGGCCTATGACCTTTGGAACAAACACCTGAGCCACCGTGGACCCAAGAGCTAGAGAAACAACCAGCGTGGATGGTCTGACAGCACCGCTGGCCACAGCTGCTACTCAGTGGCCGTTCATCACATGGAAAAGGGACATGACCCTCTTCTCCCCAAACAGCCCCCTCTTGACTCTGTTCTTCCAGCGGATGATGCCAGTTTTCCAGCCACCCAAGCTCAAGATCTCCAAGCCTCTCCCAAGTTCCTTTCCCTTCTGCTCCTATATCCGAACAGTTACTAAGTTTTGAAGCTCCATCTTTGCATACACCACCTCCCTCATGGGCTACTGCAGCAACCCCATGAGGACCCCTCCCTCCTTACTATAAGATGCTCACCCCTGGTGCAGGTCCTGTCACTGTGATTCCTGCTCGCGCTCCCCACCATATGGGTCACTGCTCTGTGGAAGGAAGGAATGACATATTGGAGTCACACCTGTTTCCCCGAAGTCATTGGGAAGTGTTCGTTGCTGCTTGTTAGAAATACCCAAACACAAACAAAAGGTGGTAAAACAATGTGAATTCGATGAGAAGTTTCTGCTTCTGTTTGGATTGAGGTCAGTGTTATTTCCCTAGCGTAGACCCAGAAAACAGAGCACTTGTTCAACTGAGGAGATGCCCCTGGCATGTAAGTGAATGTGCTTGTGTGGACATGTGGAGGTCTCAAGAACAAAAGAAGAGCTGGGCAACTTGCTGGCACTTGATACCCAGGTGTTTCTTAATGTTCCTGTTGAAGAAATAGCTGTAAAATGCTGAAGGAAATGCCCGCTTCCCTGTGTACAGAAGGCAGGCTGCGAAGGTGGGGCACCATACATTCTAGTCCAAAGAGGACTAGTATGACCTCCCCATTAGGCCACACGAATCCCACAGCTGTGTGCGTGTAGCCAAGATGTCAGCAAGGTGAGACCCCACACAAATACTCCAAAATGTGCTGGAAAGAGGGAGGGATGGAATATCAACCATTCTATTTGGCATCATTCTCTGCTAAGAGAACAGGCTTGGCCTCTCTTTTTCAGAAACCAAGAAAGGGCTTTGCTGCCTTTGCTATGTTTTCCTGTTAATCAGCAACAAAATGAAATCATCAATTTGGGTTTCCCTACCCCTTCTTTTTACTGTTCTTCAAGTAGGCCCAATAGAGGATAATTTACTACTGCAATTTTGTGTCAAGGAAGCTGAGTGCTTGTTACAGTTGCACAATACTTACTGCGCCATAAGCGGAGGGCAGGAAATATCAGGCCCATTTTACAGAGAAACAAACTGAGCCCCAATAAGTGAAAGGAATTGGTGGTTCTCTTATTAAGAATGCCTGCAGCATCATATCTGGTGTGTAATCCATTTACTTTCTTCTTTTTAAATAGAGAAATTACTAAGCATTGTGGAGGCTTAGGGTCCTGGAGATGAAGGCAGTAAAATGAGACTAATGCTGGTGAGGGTGTATGAAGGGGCCCTCTCTAGGGTGGAAGTGGAAGCCAAGTGGGTCAGCACTTTTATTGGTACAACCTGCAACCATCCCAGATAAAATAATCAGGTGGCTAGGAGTGGGGAAGGTCCCCCCTACCCCTGGGAAGACTCAAACACACAGAACATTCTAGCTTTTTGCAGTAATAATATCATGGACATTAAAGAAGAAGATCAGAAAACAGCTTCAGATGCATCACCTTCTGTCTTTCTGGTGCTCCTTTCTAAGAGGAGGCCTGGATGAGAATGCACAAGAAAGCCAGGCACTCACTCAGGAGAGTGCAAGCCAAGGTTCCTACCTGGCTGTGCCTCTGAATTCACCCACCCAGGGCCCTTGGTGAGGGTGGGAGGTGTGGTGGCCAGTTGCCCCGCCATCTTCAGTAGCTGGGGGCAGTAGGGCCACTGGCTCTGCCTGAGGCCAAAACGTGCCACACTGGCTGCTCACTGGGCTCTGAAACCCTGCATGTAAGCTACCCCGAGGCCTCACCAAGCGTGTGGAAATGTCTTTCTGCTGTCATTACTTGTCCTGGCTTTTGCTCAGACTCACACAGGACTTACACCCCTGGGCAGGGATGCTGAGTGCCCGGGTCCCCTTAGTCTAAAGCTCTGTCCCTTGGAAGGAAGGAAGGAAGGAAGGAAGGAAGGAAGGAAGGAAGGAAGGAAGGAAGGGAGGGAGGAAGGAAAGAAGGAAGGAAGGGAGGAAGGAAAGAAATGGTATGCCCAGATCTTTTTTCCCCTCTTCTGAGTTAAACAGCTCAAGTGCTATGATCATATTAGATCTAGGGACAAGAATTCCAATCAGATCCCTCCAGAAGGACTGTGATGGACAAGGAAAGTCACCTCATACTGTGCCCACTGGATGCACCCACCCCAGCCCTTCCAGGTGGTTCCCCCTCTCTCTCTCATCATGACATGGTTTCCCCCTGGGCTTCAACCATCAACCATCAATTTGCCTCCAGGACCAGAGACTTTCCTGTCACCCACTTACCCTGTCTGCAGTGCCACCATGAAACTGAGGCCTTTGAGGTGCTGCCTGCATGTCATTCTCACAATAGTGTGAATTCATTTGTCAGATCAAGTTCTCTTGCCTGGCAGCTGCCTTGGCTTAGAGAGCTGCAGGATGGAAGTTTCAGTGGAAAAGCAAAGAGTGGTTTTGGAGCTTGGGAGGCTGTTATGAAGGGAGTGTGGGGCTTCCTGAGTTCAGTGGGTGCCTGGGGCGCATTGAAGGGAAGTGTGAAACAAGAGGGGTTAGAAAGGGGAAGTCTCAAAAGACAAATTTCACATACATGAAATTTGACCTACTTAACACTTCTGCTGAGGCCCCACCTGGCTGGAAGAGAAACGCTGATATTAACTCGAATAACATAGAGGTGAAGGAACCTGGACTGATTTGGCTAATGGAAGTAACAGACTTTTCTTTCTGCTAGA
The DNA here is from genome assembly GCF_000001405.40 of Homo sapiens. Classification (NCBI taxonomy): domain Eukaryota; kingdom Metazoa; phylum Chordata; class Mammalia; order Primates; family Hominidae; genus Homo; species Homo sapiens. The sequence goes on from NC_000002.12 coordinate 30,223,903, forward strand.
AATTGTGTGCACAGTCCCTTCCGCAGAGCATGAGGCCTTTTACTCACAAATAGTTATTCCCTTCAGCATGTAGACTTGGAGTCATGGGAGTGCCTCTCCCAAGGTCTGGAATAGATAATGCTGCTGCCCACCCCTAGTTCCTGGGACACACCTGGCCCTTTCTGACCCCTACACCTTTGCTGATGTTGTTCTGCTGGCAGGATCGCCCTTCTCTAGCTTCTCCCCATCCTTTGAGGCCAGCTCAGTTGCCATCCCTTCCCTTTAGCTATTCCTGCTACCATTCTTTCCACAGATATTCCCTGAGTGCCTGCTAGATTCCAGGCACTCTTCTGGTGGTGGTGACACAGTAAGACACAAAACAGACCTACTCCTTGCCCTTGAGAGCTTCCCTTCTGCCAGTCAGCCCCCCTCTCCCAGTGCCTTTGCCTGGGACTGAACTAATCATATCCCCACCCATGCTCACATGAGTCTACTGCAGCAGTTATTGTATGATATTAGAGGGAGTGGCAACTAGGTTCCCAGACACCCCAGTGCCCAACACCTTGCCAACACCAGAGGTAGACTCTCACTTCTTTAAAAAAGAAACTCAGGGGTAGCAATTTGCATAGGAAGGGCAGAGGCTAGGAGACTTACCTGCAAAATGCACTTGCTAGCATGTGTGACCGTTCTACTTAGTTTTGTGTTTGTTTGTTTTTGTTTTTGTTTTTTTTTTTGAGACAGTTTTGCTCCGTTGCCCAGGCTGGAGTGCAATGGTGCGATCTCAGCTCACTGCAACCTCTGCCTCCCGGGTTGAAGCGATTCTCCCTGCCTCAGCCTCCCAGAGTAGCTGGGATTACAGGCACCCAACACCACGCCTGGCTAAGTTTTGTATTTTTAGTAGAGATGGGGTTTCACCATGTTGGCCAGGCTGATCTCGAACTCCTGACCTCAGGTGATCCGCCCACCTCTGCCTCCCAAAGTGCTGGGATTACAGGCGTGAGCCACCGTGCGCGGCCTTAGTTTTGTGATTCTTTGAGGGGATCATTAATGCAGTTTAGGGAATTTGTCTTACAGGTGCAGTGACCTTGCAGGCATAATACCATCACACAGACTGTGGTTATCTGGGATGGTTACAGGGAGTTATGGAGACAGGAGAAAACTAAACGTCTCCTAAACCGATTCTTTGGAAATGCCAGCACCTGTCTGGCACACAGTGGGTGCTAATGCCTGTTAGAATTGTTGTTGAGAGGGCAGGAGGGTGTAACATGGACCCAGCTATCTGATCCTGAGGCTGGGCGCCATGTGGGTGTGAAGTACACCAGGGGCTCCAACCAGCAAGTGCTAGCTCAGGTTACAGTTAGGGAGCTGGCAGAGTGTTCAGGAGGAGCTGCTGTCTGGTGCATAACACGCAGCTCGCTCCTCCAAGGAAGAGCAACAACACAGCTGCCCCTGGAGGAAGCTAGCAGACATCCTGTGTACTTGAAAAGAAAACTGAAAGTGCTTTTCTTCACAAGAAACTGTTGTGTTTCCCTCTTTTTCATAAATCCTCCTCCCTCCCCTGCCGCCCCAGGTATGATGGAGTTTCCCTGGTCCAGAGTTGTGGGTAAAATAGTGGGAGACGTGGACAGAGTGGTATGAAGGGAGTTTATGCTGGGCTGTGGTCCGTGCTGTTTGTCTAATTCAGGGAAGGTATCAGGCTACCCCAAGGAGGACTCTGCTATACGATCTGCATCCTGGTGATAGTAACCTCTCTTTTCTGGCTGTTGAAGTGCATTCCTGTGCGGATGTGGAAAGAGAGAAAGCAAGATACAGCCAGGGCTAGGACAGGAATGTGAGTATTTCCTTAATTGGACATGAGAGCCTTGAACTGATTCCAGTTGGAGTGTTTTCTTTTAGGGCCTGGACCCTAAAGATTTCATACAGTTTTCTTTGTCAGAAAAATCCCTTTGGTTCAAAGGCCCCTCGATAGAAATAAAGAAAAAGCCAGGGCTGAATTTCTTTGATATGTGGGAAGGCAAGAGTTTATGAGCTGCCAGATCTCAGGCTTCTTTTGGGGGCAATGAGAGGATTCTGGACTGAAAGATGAAGGCGCCTCCTGCGCTGCCACATGGGAAGAGGGACCACTGGCTTTAGGGTGGGCTGCAGAGCCCCAGTGGTATGGTAAGGACGTAAAGCACTTTTCTCTTGACCCTTCATAGAAGCAACTTATCTCAGCCTTACTAGACCCTGAGGCCTAAAAGAGAGACTTCTATTGCCTGCTTTTATTGCTTTCTATGTCTGAGACCCAGAGAGGTCAACCCACTTGCCTGAGAACTTACAGCAAAGTAAGTCAAAGGCTGGAGGATTTTGTCTGGTGGGTTCGGGTTGCTTTGTGTTGTTGACTGCTAATTCACTGATGACCAAGATAGGAGGTTCACATTCTCGGGCCTCATTCATTCTCTGCGTGGCCAGTACCCAGCTGGACACTTCCTGGGAGGCACCAAAGACAGAGGAACTCATGGCGGCGAGAGAAGATGCTTGGACTCTGTGACTGCAAGAGTGGCCACCAGGCAGAGCGTCGCTACTTGCCTCTAATGTCTGCTCCCTAAAAGCTAGACATGTCAGTCAAGGGACTCCAGGAGGAAAATGGGGCAGTTTGTGATGGCAATAAGTAAAAAACTGAAGCAGATGAAATCAGCTCTGCTAAACCCCCTCTTTTTCTCAAATACCTTAAAAACAAGCCCTACGTCTGCTCAGTGCTTTCCAATTTACCAAGTGTTTTCATAACATTATCTCATTTCATTCTCACTTCAACCCACACACATTCTTGCCTTTTAGATTTCTTATGTACGCAAATGAGTTTCACCGAAAAATTGGCTAGAAACTTCCCTTCTCCTACTCACTGTCTTTTTTTAACCCCAAGCCTTTGACTATCTTTAAGAAGCTCCCAGATTCCCAGGGTGAGAAAATTGTTTATCCTGCCAGCCCTGCCCTCCTGGATGGATCCCAGTGGTCTTTGCTATTGGAACCAGAGGTTTTGTATTCAGTTCATAGTGTAGCTGTGAAAACAAACAAAACCACAGAGGCATGGTAAGTGTGGTATGGTGGGGAAAACATCAGCTCTGGAAACAGCAAGCCTCAGAGTCACATTTTGGGTTTTTTTTTTTTTTTTTTAGATGGAATCTCACTCTGTCCCCCAGGCTGGAATGTAGTGGCGCGATCTCGGCTCACTGCAACCTCCGTCTCCTGGGTTCAAGCGATTCTTCTGCCTCTCAGCCTCCCAAGTAGTTGGGGTTACAGACACCCACTACAACGCCTGGCTAATTTCTGTATTTTTAGTAGAGGTGGCGTTTTACCATGTTGGCCAGGCTGGTCTCGAACTCCTGACCTCAAGTGATCTGCCCACCTAGGCCTCCCAAACTGCTGGGATTATAGGCATGAGCCACCGCACCCTGCCCAGAGTCACATTTTGGTTCAGCCATTTGAGAGCCACGTGGCCACGGCCAAGGTAGTTAACTTATCAGAGCTTCTGTTTCTTTGTCTATGAAGTGGGGGCAATCTGCCTCTGTCTAAGATTGTTGTCAGGCATAAGTGTAGTAAGAAATACCAGGGTATCTCAGCAAGTGTGGCCCCTTCCCTTCTTCTATTTTCCTCCCCAGGGTCAAATAGCTACTTTGTAAGGTCCCTTATTAGTAACCAAAATACCAGCTTCACCATCATTAGGCAAAATAAATGCAATACTGTCTTTTTGCAAGCCAGAGGGAGATAAGAAGTGGGAATGTGTTGCTTAATGATCTTTTTCTTTGAGACAGGGTCTTGCTCTGTTGCCCAGGCTGGAGTGCAGTGACGTGATCATGGCTCACTACAACCTCTGCCTCCGGGGGCTCAAGCGATCCTCCCACCTCAGCCTCCTGAGAAGCTGGGACTACAAGTGTGCGCTGCCATGCCCGGCTAATTTTTTAGTTTTTGTAGAGTCAGGGTTGCACCGTGTTGCCCAGGCTGGTCTCAAACTCCTGAGCTCAAGCAATCCTTCTGCCTCAGCCCCCTGAAGTGCTGAGATTATAGGTATGACCCACTGCACCCGGCTGCTAAATGAATTTATATGGAGACTTTTTTTTTAACTAGATGAATGAACTCGCTACCTGTCCTGCATACACAGCATCCTTGCAGCTGAGATAACTCTAATAATATCTTAAGCTCATTACCTTTATTTTTTTTTTAATTTGTATTTTAGGTAGGTAAGAGAAGGTGCTGGCAAAATGGATGTATGTAATGTCAGAAAGCAAGGCAATTCTGATTACACCTGGATTCTATTGAAGCAGAATTGCAATTCAACTCTTTAGTCTCCAAAGACAAAGACGGGAGAAGGGAGGGAGTGCAGAGGCTCTGACTGGGTAATTAGTTCACTGATCTGCATCTAGTAGATGTTCAATAAATGTTGGTGATGGACTGTGGTGGTTTACAGAGTCCAGACGTTGTGTTTGACCTTTGCTGCTGACTTCTTGGCAAATGCAGTGCAAGACGCAGTGTTAAAGTGGAAAGAACATCTGACCAGCAGTCTGAAGACCTGCGTTAGGTTCCATCTATACCACTTAATAGCCTGGTGACCTTGGACATGCCATTTAATCTCTTAGGTGTCTTCTCACCTGTAAAACGAGGAGACTGGGACAAGGTGATTTGGAAGGTCTCGTTCAGCTCTAAGGTTCTGGGGCTCTAAGTAACTTCATTCGCTTGTGTTTCTGTTTCTTCATTTATTCAAAGGCAGTAGGGACAGAAACCTATCTCATAGGATATTGGGAAGAAATGGTCAGTGTGCATGTTGAAATACTCTGTATCTTTAGAGATATGAAGGAAAGGCAGTCAGCCAGAGCTATGTTAACAGAAGGGGAAGCTGAGTATGCCTACAACCTCTGAGTTCCAGGCCCAGCTCAACCACTTTCCGGCTGTGTGATCTTTGGCAAGCCTCCTAATTTATTTCGGCCTCAGTTTACATATCTGTGAACTGAGGACCATAAGTTGTGCTATGTTAACCTTATCACATTCTTTTGAAAGCCAAGACAATGAAATGCTTCAAAAAAAAAAAAAAAACCTGCAAGGCATCATATAGACTAGTATAACTGAGAAATGGCATGCTAGTTATGGTTGCATCAAAGCTTAGCCCCACGCCTCCCATATTTTATTTTATTTATTTTATTTTATTTTATTTTATTTTTTTGAGACGGAGTCACACTTTTGTTGCCCAGGCTGGAGTGCACAATTTCGGCCTACTGCAACCTCTGCCTCCCAGGTTCAAGCGATTCTCCTGCCTCAGACTCCCAAGTAGCTGGGATTATAGGCACCCACTACCACGCCCAGCTAATTTTTGTATTTTTAGTAGAGACGGGGTTTCACCGTGTTGGTCAGATTGGTCTTGAGCTCCTGACCTCAGGTGATCCACCTGCCTCAGCCTCCCAAAGTGCTGGGATTACCAGGCGTGAGCCACCGCACCCAGCCACCTCCCATATTTTCAAATGAATGGATGTGTCACTGTGATTCCAGAGGAGAAACAGAAAATGCAGACTGGGGATCACAACCCCAGGCTTATTTCTATTTTAACTTACTGACAGAGATGAACTTTAGCTAAAATGGGCATTAATAAGTTTCCCAAAGAGTAGGCCTCAGGTAATTCCCTCAATGCACTCCAATGTAGAGGATTTTTCCAGAGGCCAGATAACAGCTGGTGGAGGCCTTACTCCCCACCCTCTTCTCCAAAATGAGGCCATTTTGACATTTAGATATTTGGGAAAATGGGGAGGGAGGGAAATAGCTTTCTGAGTTTTGAAAGCTTCACATGGCAATAATCACAAACACATAAAGTGTGTCTGTTATGTGTAAAAGTGGCGCAACAGTCTTTGATCCCAGCCTCACCAGAGATTGCTACTGGGAAGAAGTGGCAGAAGGCTTCATCCTGCCCACCCGGGGTCTAGCCCAGACATTTTCCTCTGAGTGCCTGGAAGTCTCAGCCTGGAAACTAGCTCTCCAAGCATTGGCGTCTCCTGTGGCTGCCTAGATGACAATGTGCCACACCTGGCTAGTGACACTGAGAAGCTTCCCCACCCTCTGTGCAGGACATCAACAATAACCCCATCCCTGCAGCATCTCCCGTTTAGCCCCTCCATCAGGCAACACCCCCAGAGGAAGAGAATGCGTTTAGCTTGGGAGGTGGGGGAATTTCTCTGGTTGGAGGGGGCAGCCAGGGGCTTGTCATGAAGCTGTGTTTTCATAGGAAGCACACTATTTTAACTCAGGTTGTACATATAAGCATATAAGTGATTGAAAATAGCCCAGTTATTTTTAAATAAATTATTCTCATCAATTCTTATAATTTTTGTTTGGGCTGGTTTTGCGGGGACTGATGAAAATTATGAGGGTCTTCTCTCACGGCTTCCTTCAGGGTCCTACCCCTGTCGAACCTTCGCCATTAATTCTGTCATCCTTTTGCCTGAGATAAGCTATGCGTTTCCACTTTCAAGTACATATATACGGATTCAATACACTCACTGCCTTTCTTTTAAAAAGCTGATTCACTTCAAAGCCAATTTAATTTTGCTTAGTTTTTGATCTCCCCGCGCCCCCTTTCCTCAGCCCCTATACACAGGTAGGTGAGGGTTCTAAAGCCATTTTACAGGCGTGATTGAAGCGGAGGCCACAGAGCGGCAGCGCTGGGTCCCGAGTGAGACTCCCATCATGTGGCTCTGGGGGGCTGCGCAGCTTTGACTGCCTGGACAGACGCCCAGAGCTGCAATTCCTGGGCAGTGTGGGAGGCGTTCGGCTAAAGCTCTTTGTTTCTGCTGTCATGAGCGACTCCTCGGAGAAGACGTGGGAGTCAAGGATGGGGGGCGGCGTGCACACCGCCCGCCCACACCTTCTGCCCCCGCTGCAGACCGGGCGTATGTGTGTCTCCAATGGAAAAATCCTACCCAGGACGACACCACATCCTTGCTCCCACAAATAAAACCTTCCACGGAACTCAGGGCTGCAGACCAGCCCTTCGCAAGCCAACGCGCCCCGTGGGCACTCGGTCCCCCGGCTCCGCGTCTCTGCCACCTTCCCACCGCTTCTTCTTTAACCATGCTCTTGTTTCCCCTCGCTGATCGCAAGGCTGCGGGCGAGGATTCCAGAGAGAGGCCTAGTATGGGGAACAAACGCTTCAGAGGGGTCCGAGGTGGGCTGGGGACAGCCAGTGGATGGGAAGGAGGGCGCTGGCGCCGGGCGGCTGGGGTGGAGGAGTGGCGGGTGCCCTACCCCGGCGCAGAGCAGCCGCCGAGCTGTCATGTCCCGAGCGGCCCCCGCGCCCTCCTTGCGCCCACCTCCGCCGCGCTGGAGTTCGGGGTGTGCGTGGAGGGGGCTGTGAGCGGGAAGCGGCGCGGACGCGGAGTCCGGGCCGGTGCGAGTGAGCGCGTGTGCGCGTGGGAGAGCGGCGGGAGGGGGCCGGGCTCGCAGCCGCAGCGAACCACGGCCCCGGGAGCAGAGCCGAGCGCGCCCCCGAGCCGCCGCCCGCCGGAGCTGCGAGCGCTGAAGCCATTCATGATTTTGGTGACGTTATTCCAGGAGTGGGCGAGGGAGGGCGGGGCCTCTCGGGGCCAAGCCCCGCCCCCGCCCCTATAAATACGGCTTCCCGGGCTCTTTGTGGGGCTGAGTGCTCAGTGGAGAGCGGGGAGTTGTGTCCACCTTGCCGACGTCGCTAGCCGTGGGGCTGTCCTGGGAAGGCGGACGGCGAGCGCCCGGTGTCCGCACTCGGCCGCCTGCCGTGCCCGTCTGCGCCCGTGTCATCCTCACTCGGGACGCAGGGACCGTTTTTAAATCACAGGGGCGTGTGTCAGCCTGCCCTAGGACTTCATGTCTATATATTTCCCCATTCACTGGTGAGTACCCTGCGCCTGCGGCGGGCGTCTGTCTCGCGGCGGTGGCTGCGGGCCCGGGCGCCTGCTTCGTGCCGGCTCCGGGTGCGAGGGCAGCCGGCGGCGCGGGCGCTCAGCGCTAACCCGCCGCCCGAGCCCGTGCAGGAGTCAACGTCAAGGTTGCAAAGGTGGGGGTGGGGGGAGGGGGTGCTGAGAACATCCAGACAAAGGACGTGAACTCGGAGCCCTCACCTAAGTGACGGCCGGAGGGTTTGTATTGGTTGGCGGGGGAGCCAGGGGTCACGTGTGAATCCCCCCCAATGAAACCACCCTATGCGGAGAGCTGCAGGAGGCGCGCGCCCCACTTGGCGCAGGGGGGCTCCTGCTCTTCCCGGGCCCCTCCTCTTTTTCTTTTTGTTTGCATGCAAGTCTCAACGTCGAGGCCGGCAGCAGCGGGGCTGAGCTGGTGCGGCCGCAGGGTTTGCAGAGCTCCGGGGGGGTGGGGGGCGGGAAACGCTCTCCCCACACGTAACCCCACTAAAGCCACAAGCAGCAGGGCACGCGCTGCAGCCTCTCAACCCCTGCCCTCTCCACCGCCCCTAAAAACCGACGCACATTGGTGGGGGCCGGGACTGGGAGGAGCCGCCTTCGCCGTGCTGAAGGGGAAGGAGCCCGGGCCGGGCGCGGGGCGTCGGAGGTTTGCCCCGGACTGGGGATCGGAGCCGGGAGGGATGCAGAGAGAGGCAGGCCCCTGACTGCTGGGACTTCCTTGCTGGCAGTTTCTTCCTTCCTGCTCTGGGTTAGAGGAGAAGCGGCCGGGGGCGAGCGCCGGCAGCCCCGGAGCGCGCTCTCAGGTGCGGACGTGGGGAGCTCGGCCCCGAGTCTCCGGCAGGCGCTGAGCGAAGGGAAAACCGGCGCAAGCCGCGGCGGGGTCCGGCCTGGCCCAAGAAGCGGAAAGTTCATGCTTCTCGCTTCAACTTTTCGGGCCGGCGCCACAGCCCCGAGCGAGGAAGAGCCGCCCCTACGTCAGACTCTTCACCCTGCGTGCGCTCTTCTGGCTCCTTTCTTTGGAGGTCGCCAGCAGCCTTTCCAAGACCCGGGAGGAAACTGCCTTTGCAGGGCCCAGCTCCCGAACCTAAACTTGCCGCAAAGCCCCGCATCTTCTGTTAGTCTCCCTGCCCCCATCCGTCCCAGCCTGGCAGTGTTTAGAGAGGGGACTGAACTTCCCTCTCTCAACAGTTCAAGTTCCCCCACCCCGAGGCTTGTGTACCCTTCTTGTGGGTGCCCCTCCCTTGCCTCTCCCGTGGTGTGTGAGCAGCTAGGTGCCTTATTATAGGTGAAGCTTTGAAGGCTGTTGGAGGCTTTGTGCCTTTGGCTGCTCAAAATTTGCCAAGGTGGGTGTTTGGACCCATTAAGAATATTATGAGAAATTAAGGTTTAAGTTTATTTCATCGATTAGCACTTTGCAGCTTGCAATGCTTTTATGCAGACATTAGCCCTTAACCTAACTGTGAGGTATGCACTATTAGCATCAGAGTAACAGACAAACAGGACACTTGTGGCTCAGAGAAGTTACAGGACCTGTTCAAGATCACACAGTTCTTGAGGGGCAGAGCCTAGAACCTATTGCTTCTGTTTCTAAATCCAGTGTCATTTCTTATCTATGTAGTAACCATACAATTGAAGAGGCATCTGGTACCCCTGTTTCCTTAGATACTGTCCCTCAAAAGACTCCCCCATATTTTTGTTTTAAACCATGTGCACAGGCACGATGGTGGAAAGCATTGGGTGCTGTGTAGCAGGTACCTGTATTTGGTGCTTATGTTCAGCATTATGTGCACGGGATCCTGTATGTGCCCAGAGTTTGTGCAAGGATAAGGGAATATTCGTATCCTGCTTAGAGAGTACAAGGCACTTTCACATGTCAGCCATTGGTGGGCCAGCTTGGCCCCTCTGGAAATTTCCTTTGCAGTCAGAGTCGGGTATCCTTAAGGCTTTTAATCCAGGGGATGTTTTTCAAGCTGTGAGCATGCAGCTGCTGTGTCTGGGGCTAGAGAAAGGGGATGGATGGCAGATGTGAAACTTGCAGAAAAGCTGACCCCTTGGGGCTTTAAGTGGAACATTTTGCCAAAAGGAGCACCAGAGAGACAAATTTAGGAAAGCTGTATGATTGGACTTTGTTTCCCTCCAGTTGACCTGTTATTGTTATTGTGTATTAATAATATATAGAGTTCCCCTTTGGAAAGTTCATGTGAGGATTATTTTTATTCTTAGTTGGAGAAGTGAAGGGAGATGTGGTTGAATTGGTTTTAATATAGACAGATGGACTCAGCTACCTACTGTTTTGGTTTCTCTGGTTCTGTCATTTAAAGAAACATTCAGGGTCCCTCTGTGCCAGTGGGGACTAGAGTACAGGAGAGGAGGGAAGAGGTTTGCCAGAGAGGTCTGCAGACAATGGGCTTTGTCTGTTGCGGCTGAGCCCTGGGGCTGTGGGCTTGCAAGGCGCTTCCTCAGGGTGTGAGCTTGTTTTGCTGCAAGTTCTGTTTTGAACACCTCTCTTCCTGTCTCCAGACAGTCCCCTGATCCCACAGCAGTGAATGCATGAAGAGTTAGGAATGTGAAAGCGCGTGTGTTTGTTGACTTTTGGTCTGGGTTTCTTGGCAGCCCCGACTATCTGAGATCGGCCAAGATGACTGAGGTGATGATGAACACCCAGCCCATGGAGGAGATCGGCCTCAGCCCCCGCAAGGATGGCCTTTCCTACCAGGTGAGTAAGTCCTGGCTCCCCTCTGACTCTCTAGAGCCTAGTGGTTTTTGCTGGGGGTGAGGACAGACTTGGTTTTGCATCCCAGTGCCACATATAAGAGCTGTGGGACTGTGGCAGAGTCCCCTAATGCCAGTAAGCCTCAGTTTCTTCATCTGTAAAATGGGGCAACAATCGTCCTTATCTCCTAAGATTGTGGTAAAGATTCACCATGACAAGTGGATGTGTAGGAAGCATTCCTAGTGTCTGGGACAGATAAGGGCTCAGCAAGCATTAGCCATTGTGATGAATTGACCCTACTGGCTCTGTGAACTTTGCCATTCACCGCAGCAAAGGAGGAAATGATTTGTTTAGTCGATTGAGACCAGAACTTTCCTTCCCAGCCATGCCTGGGGTAGTAGAAGCATTGCTGTCGGGGGCTTCTGCAGAAGGGTGGTCTGGTGGGGATAGCCATGTCCAATGCTGCTTTCTTCCTTGGGTTGATTATTGACCTGTTGATTCAGAGTTAACATTCAAACCACTTAGAGAGGAAGATATTTTCCCCAAAGGGAGGCTAGCTCAGGGATGCTATTGCTGGGATCTTGCTTGGAGATCATCCTGTCTGGTGGATCCAAAATGCACAAGGATCACAAAAAGGGACCAGAGTGAGCCCTCTGGACTCTTACCCCAGCCCTCTCTCTGGCTTGCCCTGCTGCCTCTCTACTGCCCCTGGGTTGGGGGTGGGAGCAATGGAGCACCTGCAGTTCCCTCTGGGCTGTGAGCTGGTTTGGGGTTTTGGAGGAGAGTTCCTATGTTGTTAAACTGGGGGGAGGGAGGAGTCTCTTCTTAAGGAAGACCTTGGAGCTAGGGAAGTTGTGTAGGATGGCCAGCCCAGGGAAGTCGAAAGGGAGTGTGATGGGTCCATGGGTCCGTGCTACAGACATGAAGGTATGCCCACTGCACGCCAAGCACTCTACAGACGCTGCCTTGCTCACATCTTACCACAGCTCCCAGGCGGGGATCCTCACCCTGTTCACAGATGAGGAAATGGCTCAGCCTGAGTCAGTGACTTGGGTCTGTCTAACCCCAGAGCCTTGTTCTTCTGATGTATTGTGTGTCCACACCATGGCTTGGTTCCGCTAGGGTCTAGGTTGACTCTGGCTGGTCATTCCTTAGAACTGTTCCAGGGACATTTATTTTGTAAATTAAAAAAAAAAAAAAATCAAATAGAAAGCCAGGGAGCCAGGGTGGGTGCCATGGAGGGAAAGTAATCAGATAGAACCAAGCTAAAAGTTCAGGCAGGGTCACTTAACTTCAGACATGCTTGGGAGGCTAAGGAGGCCCCTTTGTGTTGTCTATATTGGCAGGCCTGTCTTGAAATAAGTAGCCATTAGCTTGAAGGGGGTGTGTGGAGCAAGGGGGAACTCTCTTTGCTACGTTTGACTTTTCTACCCTCCTCCCCCAGAGTGGGTCTGAGGAAGACAATTGAGGGCCCCTCAACCTGGTGGGAGGGGTAGAAGTTTCCTGGCCCACCAGCCAGGGGGTTTTGGGTAGCAGTTTCCAAGCCCCTGAGTCAGAATGAATCTCTTTGTGGTTACAGGTGAGGTTCTCTTTCGGTTCTGGGTTTTAGATTTCCATCACAGAACCTTTCCAAATGCAGTCATCTGTTCATCTTGTGTGTGCTTTTCATATTTTCCTTTTAAATACATCCCAGGATAAAGGGCCAGGCCCTATAGGGCCGTTTTCTCAATGCTTCGAGTCCTTCAGGCCATTCTGCTGGACCTGAGACTCAGGGCAGGTGGTGAGGGAGGAAGGAGCTGGGGGAGGAAGGCCAACCTGGGGCTGCAAGGGCAGCAGGAAAATAAAATCACCTCTGGGTGCCTGACACATCTCAGCACTGCCTGAGCAAAGGATCCACACATCTTCCCTTGTGGTGCTGGACTGAGGGCCCAGTTCTCAGAGCCCCCTCCCAGGAAATCTGTTTCTGCTACCTTGGTGGGGACCACTCCCCAGTTCCAAAATATCTTACTTGGAACTTCAGAGCACTCTGGTCACAATTTTTCACAGCTTTTCTGATTTCAGAAAGGTCTCTTGGTTGCCTGGTGAAGAGGAAAGGGAGATTGTAGTATTTAACCAAGCAACATTTAGGGGCACTTTCCCTGTGCAACCTGCTGTGCTGGCCTCTGTGCCCAGGGTCCAGGGCCCTTGTAAGAACCCAGCATCTACATAAACATCTGGAACACAGGTGGTGCAGTCAGTCCAGGTGGGGGACATACAGAAGCTACAGTGAGTCCAGGCATCGACAGCAACAATGAAATCCAGCCGACAGAATCAGAGGGAGGGCAGACTGGGGCTGGGCTCTGAAAGAAAATTAGGACTTTGAGAGGGCAGTTCCATCTCTAAGGTAATGTTCTTGCACCTTCAGATACCCCTGGGCTTGCCCCTGTTTATGCCAGGGGCAGGGCTGTGCAGTGAGCTGGTCTGACCATTGCGGTGTGACAGATATTCTCCGGGCCCACTCAAAGCTAGTGCCGTCCAATTAGACACATTCCCACCAGAGCTCTGGGGATTGGCTGGGACTGGCACTTGGCTGGAGCCCCTTCCCTTTGCATGCTCAGGCTCGGCTCAGGCCTGGGGGCAGGGGATCTCGGAGCTCTGTTCTTGGCATTCCTCCTAAGGATAATAATAGTACGTGGCTTTTACTGAGACCTGCTTTTCTAAGGAACTGAGAGTGGGAAGGAGACATCAATCCAGACTTGGCAGATGAAATAGGATCTCAGGCTTGTGATTTGACCTTGAAAGAAAGTCATCAAGTAAATGGCACATTGGACTTTGTCAGTCACTTCACTGCCTTGCAGATCTATCGAGAGTGAAGCTTTCCTGATTTCTCTGTACCAGCTGTGACGTTTCTTTTAATGCCTGTGGCATTTTGTACTTGCCAATGATGCCGCTTCGAGGATACGGGTCCTGTTTTACCTTCTCTTTGCCCAGGTCCTTGAAGGCAAGGGAGGACTTATCTTCATCTTTGTACCCTGCCCCCACCCAAGGTGCCTAAGTGCTAAAAGTGGGTGGTGGTTGTTTCCATGAAGTTGAGTCTCCTGATTCTAAAGCTGGTCACCTTCTCTTCTGCCTTAGCTTCTGGAAAGGGCCTCCTCACGCTCATGCCTACCAAGGTTTCAGATAGATGCCCTTTTAATCCCCTGAAAGATTCAAGGAAGCCCCAGCTACTGGTCCTGGGGCAGTTAGGGCTGTGTTGTGAGCCAGTGCCTTGTTTTGTAGTAACATTCATTTGGAGAGGCAGTTCAGTAAGGGAAATCCACGTGTGCACATTCACTTAACATGAATTGTGACACCCTGTGGGGTGGGTGAGTAAATGGTTGCTAGAAAGTCTGAGTACATTTTGGGCAGGCAGGCTGTGGGTGGCGGCCAGCTCACCAGCTGAGTGGGGAGGGTCTCCAGCAGGATGTTGATGTCCCTGATGGCAGCAGCTCCCTCCCCACTTCCATCCAGCCTGTGGAACAGGAATTTCTGCTGCCCAGTGCCTTCTTCCTTACCCTAATTCAAGGAAGCAAGTCAGCAGCTGCTTCTTTGGCTCCAGGGACTCTAAAAATATGGTGTTAGGGAATGCCTCTGCGACTGGGTCTCCTTCGATGCTGTGCCCGACTTGGCCTGGGCTCTGTCTGGGGAAGGGTCTTGGGAATTTGCCTGTGGGCACCGACACTGCCTCCACCCAACGGCACTGGGACCCTGGCCTTGCTACTCTAACTTCCTCAGCACAGCAGCCGAGGCGTCTACAGTTTCATCACCCCAGCTAAGGTCCAGATACAGATGTGGCTCCTTGGTTTTCATTTAAAACTTCCTTCTAAAGCACCTGGACCAAGGTCTGAACACATCATCCTTCTCCAGGCTCTTTAAATTTCTCTAATCAGCACACGTCCCTTCCTGGCTGCCCCTTGTATTCTTTCTGCTTTTATTCTTGGTCATGTCCCCACCATTTGACATCCATCTGTCAGTCAGGCAAGCGAGGGAGGATGCTCTGGGAGGGAGGAAGCCAGGAGGAGCGATTTCTTCACACACCACAGTGCTTGTGTGCACCACACATTCCCTTTGATAAACAGAGCTGAGAGCTTCCTGCATCTTCCCCTTCATTCCCCAGGTGGGAGGGAGTGATGTCCTAGTGCTTTCTATGGTAGGGAAGAGCAGGCTAGCGGGCTGACTTTTCTTGCCTCAGCCTTAGTATTTGCCTCGTGCAGTTGGAGAGCCTCAGCTATGGCCCTGCATTGAGAGGTGGTCTGAAGGACCATTGTGGGTGGACGACCAGCCTTTCCCGGCACAAGATCTCTTGCCCCTTTGTCTCTCAGGTCCCAAATAGCCACCTTCTTTCTCTCACTCCTCCCCACTCTTTTTTTTTTTTTTTTTTTTTTGAGATGAAGTCTCGCTGTGTCGCCCAGGCTGGAGTGCAGTGGCGCGATCTCTTCTCACTGCAACCTCCACTTCCCGGGTTCAAGCGATTCTCCTGCTTCAGCCTCCCGAGTAGCTGGGACTACAGGAGTGTGCCACCACGCCCAGCTAATTTTTTGTATTTTTAGTAGAGACGGGGTCTCTCCACGTTGGCCCTTCCCACTCCTTGTCAGAAGCAGCAACTCATCTCTCAAAGAACAGGCTCAGTTTGTTTCATCACCGAAGTTAGGCGGTAGCTCGGAAACCCCTTCTCTTTGCTCACATCTCTGCTGAGCCTCTCTTGATGGAGACCTCCTGAGCCTGGCTTCACTCTGCCGGTTCCACCTGGGTGGAATGCGTGTGTGGAAACAGGTGACGGGTTAAGCCCTTAGGAAGGTTTCTGGTCCGTGGCCTCTGTCCCCCACCAGCTCACGAGGCCATTCTGGGCATAACGCATCCACTCTATCCGCCTCCTCCTCATTACCCCTGTCTCATTGCTTACTCCCAGCTGTAGTTCCCCACATGTCCTCAAGAGTTTGGGAGGCGCTGCTGAGCAGCTGCACGCAAGTCCCATGGTCACCAGGAAACATCTTTCACAATGTCAGACTTAAAAGGCCTCAGTAGTCCCTGGAGAGACATAGAGCTAAAAATTCCAGAACATTTGGCAGGAGGCATCCAGCCGCGGACACATGTTCCTGGGATTGCAACAACTTTCTTTTCTCCTATCCCTACTCCCCCCACCCGCCTCTCTCCTTGACAAAAATCACAGGAATGGGATGTAGAACAGGCAGTTAGGGCCACGGGTCTCAAAAGCACAAGTAATGTGTTTCTCTGAGTGGCACTGGGCCCGTGTCTGCACATTCTGCCTCTATGTGAGTCATTGTTCACCTTGTTCAGAGCAAATCTACTCTGTATGAGGATCCAGCACCTTCCCTCCTACACTACCCTGCAGAGGGCTGGAATTATTCCCATGGGGATTTCCTCCTGGGCCCCATAAGCCCCCTGGTCACAACAGTGAGTCTGTAGCCTGGTCAGGGAGAGAACAAGCTTTCTTCACTTTCCCAGCCAACACGTTGCATACTAGGGCCATACATCCCGGCCTCCTCTCAAGGGGCCTGTGTTGGGCCTGACGCCTCTCTCTCCAAGAGGTTATGTGTTCATCTCTCTGCTGAGCCAGGGGCTGTGTCTTAGGCTGCTCTTTGTTTCTAAGACGCTGGGCACAGTGTCCTACAAATAGTTGCTTAATGAGCCTGGATGATGGATTGGCCCTTCCTCTCTCCCCGTCCTGCACTGAGAATCCTTTTATCTTGGCAGTCTCATGAAGCCAATTTTTATAGGATCAGCATTTTCTCTAAGTAGGCCCGGTCTCCCACGTTGGATAGAAAGGATGGTACTGTTAGGGAAAGGGATGAGTTTGGGTGGCGAATGTTGTGACTGTAGCCAAGAGCTATTCCTGGGTGTCTAGTGAATGTCCTGAAATGATCTTGCAGGCCTGAGTCCTGAAGTAGTCCTCAGAGGATATGAAGACAGGCCCTCATTCACACAGGGCGTAGACTTGCTGGGGGCTTCATTCCTTCCCAGTCTAGTAGCTTCTGTGCTGCCTCTGACTGCCTCTCACCTCGCCACCTGCCCTTCCCTTGTCCTCAAGCGCAGCTCAGGAAGATATCGTTATCAGCACATCAAATCCTCTGCTTCCTTCCTGGGCTGAGGGAGGGCCCCTTATTACACAGATCCATCTTGAAGAACAATTTCAATTTGCCCAAAGTTTCTCCAAACTATAGTCAAGCTGGCATTTTAACCTCAAGGAAACTTTGGGAGCCCCCTCAAGCCCCCTCTCCGGTGGACTTAATTGCCTCCCACCGGCAGTAGCTTATTTTAGGTAAACTGTGTAGAAGAGACCCCAAGCGTTTAGCTGAAACTCATACACTTCTTGCCTCTCAGCCAGGAATTTTATTTGAACCAATGGGAAGGAAAATTCTGGATTTCTCACATAAAATGGAATTGGTCTAAGCAAAGAGGGCACTCCTAAATTTTAGTACAGATACAGTTGGTGTCTAAGCCTGACTTTCTCTTGATTTGGTGGTTCCCAAACAGAATTTAAAATATACCTTGAACTCATCTTCCAGCTTTTCTTAGGAGAGCTTAAAGCACTTGTTCAAACTGGATTTAAGAGGTATCCTTGGCTTTCCCAAATTCCTAAACATTTTCACTAGATGTAGCCCTGCATACAAGCCCTAATTTAGTAGGTGGCCTTAAGGTCAGCCACTTATCCCCATGGACGTAGGCAGTGGTGCCAGCGCACATCCACTAACACACACACATTCACACACACAACTGTAAGGGCAGATGGGGGTTAATAAGTGGTTGTTTTAGATTAGTGTTTTAATTATAGGAAGTTTTTCCTTCCCTTTCCCTCTGTTGGCAATTTCATATTTTTATTGATAAAATATGTATTTTATTATTTTTATGCTTACTTTTCCAATTTTAAAAGAAACATATGCTCATTATGGAATTTCTATTTTTATTTTCTTTCTTTCTTTTTTTTTTTTTTTTGAGATGGTATTTTGCTCTTGTTGCCCAGGCTGAAGTGCAATGGTGCGATCTCAGCTCACTGCAACCTCCGCCTCCCAGGTTCAAGGGATTCTCCTGCCTCAGCCTCTTGAGTAGCTGGGACTACAAACACGTGCCACCATGCCGGGCTAATTTTTGTATTTTTATGAGTAGAGACGGGGTCTCACCATGTTGGCCAGGCCGGTCTCAAATTCCTGACCTCAAGTGATCCTCCCCCCTCAGCCTCCCCAAAGTGCCAGGATTATAGGCAGGAGCCACCGCGCCCAGCCTATTTTGTTTCTTAAATTTTTTTGTTTTTCAGTCACCACAATTTCACCATGCATAAATCACAACGGTTAACAATTTAGCATCTTTGCCTTCTTTTCCTGTGCACTTACGTTTTTATGTAGCCAAGATCACACGTTGCATTTTGCTGCTTTCCTTAACAGCGTCTAAGTCATCAGCACTCTATTGTGATGATTTATCTTAAAAATATTCCAAGCGATCATTTTTAGTAACTGTGTAATATTATATCATAAAGTTAAAACATAATTTGTCATTCAATTGTTGAAATTTTTAGGTTACGTATATTTTCTCTTATAAATATGTAAATATGTATATAAAAAGTTATATACAGTTTTTTATAAATCTTTGTGCATACTTTATACTGTTTCCTTAGCATAGAGACTGTGGAATAGGATTTCTTGAAAAAAGGTAAAAGTGTGAGTATGCATATATACTGTTACATATATGTTATTATTATAAAGGTAATATTCTTTTTTTTTTTGGAGATAGAGTCTCACTCTGTGGCCCAGGCTGGAGTACAGTGGTGCAATCTCGGCTCACTGCAACCTCTGCCTTGTGGGTTCAAGCGATTCTCCTGCCTCAGCCTCCCAAGTAGCTGAGATTACAGGCGAGTGCCACCATGCCTGGCTGGTTTTTGTATTTTTAGTAGAGACGGGGTTTTGCCTTGTTGGCCAGGCTGGTCTCAAACTCCTGCCCTCAAGTGATCTGCCCACCTCAGCCTCCAAAGTGCTGGGATTACAGGCGTGAGCCACCACGCCCGGCCAATATTTATTCTTTATAGAAATTTAGGAAAATACAGAGACATGGGAAGAGAAAAAAAATCCACACCCATATTTCTATCACTGAAACATTTTGGTATGTTTACTTTCAGTATTTTTCTATGCACTTAAAAAATAAAATTGAGACCATACTGTACATGCTGTAGTGAATCCCTTTTTCACTTAATATAATATCGTGACTATGTTCTTGTCATTTGGTTTTCTTTGTAAAATTCTATTATGTAACATTTCTTAATGCTGAATATTTAGGTTGTGGCATATTATGTTCTTACAAAGAACACTATTCTGAACATCATTTTACAGAAATCTCTGCACAGGTCTGATTTGTTTCTTTGGAATAAGTTCCTGGAAGTAGAATTACTGATTCAAAGAGATTCAACATCATTAAGCCTTCTGATTATATGTTACCTTAAAAACAGAAAAGATCAAAGAGTTTATCAAAATATAAGCTCCCAGCATTGAAAGCTCTAGCAAATAGAATCTCCAGGGTAGAACATCTATAAAGATGGGATAATGGTAGAGCTTTTTGGATAGAATCAGAAAGATATTTGGCTATTTTAAAGTGTTTAGGAGATATTGTACATCTTCCTATTGTTTGTTAATTACTTATTTCAAGCATGATGATAACAGTTGATGATGTTCAAGCAACATTTAGCCAGCATTGCAAAATAGCTGGTGATCATATTCTTGTCCCCTAGTAGGTACACTGACACCCTCTGTGGATTAAAAATGTACACAGGTCAGCGATTACTCAGCTTTTCTCCTTTATTCTATTAATGACATTGAGCATTGTGTAAACCTTGAAGAAGACCAGTAAAATTACATTGTTCTGGAGACCCAAGAAGGTTCACCAGATGCATGCTTTGTCTCTGAACCAACTTGGCTTTCCTGGGGTTCCAGATCTGGCTCATGAATAACTCATGGTTGAGAAATATTCCTTCCCTGGAATTAAGGATGGGCTGGACTCTTTTTTTTTTTTTTTTTTTTTTTGAGATGGAATCTTGCTCTGTCACCTGGGCTTGAGTGCAGTGGCACGATCTCAGCTCACTGCAACCTCCGCCTCCCTGGTTCAAGTGATTTTCCTGCCTCAGTTCCCTCAGTAGCTGGGATTACAGGCACCCACTACATGCCCAGCTAGTTTTTGCATTTTTAGTGGAGACGGGTTTCTCCATGTTGGCCAGGCTGTTCTCGAACTCCTGACCTCAGGTGATCCACCTGCCTCAGCCTCCCAAATTGCTGGGATTACAGACGTGAGCCACTGCGCCTGGCCTGGGCTGGACTCTTAAAAGTAGATCTTAACATAATGGAAGTCTTGGACCCAGTGTCGAAGGGCCACGTACCCAACAACTCTCCAAGGGTCTAGGTGCTTTGCAACACGTAGACAGCCCAGGCCAGTGCTCTAGCAGGGTCCACATACTCCTGATGGTTTACAAAGTTCATTTAGGTGCTATACAGACAGCTTGAAAAATGTAAGACTAGTTTTCCATTTATGTAGTGGTAGATTTTTAAACAAGTATGTTTTAAATAAATGAGTGGAGGAAACTAAGACATGTATGTGGACATAACAGGGATGATGAAGGTGATATCACAAGGCTGACACATACCAGCTTACATGAGTGTGAAATTCCACAGCACAATCCTTTTAGGATCCTCTAAAATGGGTATCTCTTTGGTCATGTGCCCCTCGGGTATGGCAGTTGAAGCATCAGGAACCTTCCTGACTGTTTTCATTGGCAGTTGAGTGTTAGAGATTTGTATGCCAAATTACTTCTTAATAATGCTTATACTACTTCACATTTTAACAAAATGTTAAAATGGGAGGACAGCTGCCTCTGGGGTTCACAGACACTTTCCAAAGGACATGATGGCAGGGAGGGTTTTCAGGAAATCCATTTCCACATCTTAAGCCTTCTTCTCTTGCTTTTTGCAAATTGCATTTCCTGAAGACTAGCTTCACCTGCTTCCTTGTCCTACCTTTCTTTCAAAACTGCCCTTCTCCCCCTTTACAAGAGGAGAACCTGTCGCAATTCAACTCACTATTGCAGTAAGAAACCTTCATTAAGGCTGGACGCGTGGCTCACACCTATAATCCCAGCACTTTGAGAGGCTGAGGTGGGCAGATTGCTTGAGCTCAGGAGTTTGAGACCAGCCTGGGCAACATAGGGAAACTCCATCTCTACAACAAATACAAAAAAAAATTAGCCAGGCGTGGTGGTGTGCACCCGTAGTCCCAGCTACTTGAGGGGCTGGGGTGGGAGGATCGCTTGAGCCCAGGAGGTGGAGGCTGCAGTGAGCTGAGATCGCACCACTGCACTCCAGCCTGGGTAAAAGTGAGACCCTGTCTCAAACAAACAGAAAAAAAAGAAACCTCAATAAAAATTTACCTTTGTGTTTAATAATTATTTGTGATATGTTTGTTGATCAGTTATATACTAATAGCTGCAATAAACCAATCCAGAATTTGTAAATTAACAAAGCCTTAAAGTAGGACATTTTTTAAAATATCATTTTGTATGCATAAATACATCTTTTTATTGTAGAGAATTATGAAAAGCTAATGACTAAAAACTTTCAAACATAAAAATATATTACATCAAGAAAAAATTCTGTGGAGAAGTAGAATGGAAATACAGTTTTACATAGAGAAAGTAAGAATACAAGATTTGACTTAAGAGCTTGTTCTTGAGTTTTTTAATAGGTCATGGTTGCCGTCAAATTCTTATGGTATTTGTAATCCATTTAGTACATTTAAAAGAGTGGTATGTATATTTTATTTTAAAATGTCAATATGTATAATATATCAGGGATTTTAGAACATGTGAAAGGAGACAGAGTTGTTCAGAATTCCACTGGGGACTACACTAGAAGTTCGGAAACCATGGATACGTACACTTTCTTCAGAATCAAAGCGATGGCACTGTAGGTCCTCAGAGGGGAGGGCAGCTTTGAGCTTGGTCCTATCACCTTGATAAGGAATGTCCTCTACAGTAGCCTGACATCGGGTTACCTAGATATTCTTTGGACACTGTGACACAGAGTCCAGAACCTCTCAGCACAGAGGGATTACAGACTTAAGAATCCGGATAACTGGTTTCTAATCTTGGCTTTGCTGCTACCTATGTCATCTCAGGCAACTCACATCACCTATTTGGGCCTGATTTCCATGTGTATAAGTGAGAGAACTAATCCTTATTGTGTTTTTTAAAAGTCGAATAATGACATGAAATCCACCATCCTAATCCTAAGATGTGCCCGTTGGAGTTTAAAAAACAAAAGCAACAACAAAAACCTGTTCTTTCCCTACCTATCAGCCTTTCAGATATCAGAAGGCACCTTTTATGTTCCCCTCAAATCTTTACCAGTTTTAAAATATGTTGTTTTTCAACCTTGACTTACATAGTCTTTTTTTTTTTTTTTTCCCTTGAGACACAATCTCACTCCGTCACCCAGGATGCAGTGGTGCCATCCCAGCTCACTGCAACCTCCGCCTTCCGGGTTCAAGGGATTCTCATGCCTCAGCCTCCCAAGTAGCTGGAATCACAGGCGTGCACCACCACGCCTGGCTAATTTTTGTGTTTTTAGTAGAAATGAGGTTTTGCCATGTTGGCCAGGCTGGTCTCAAACTCTTGACCTCAAGTGATCTGCCCGCCTTACCTCCTAAAGTGCTGGGATTATAGGCGTGAGCCACTGCACCTGGCCCATAGTCATCTTACTGAGGATTATTTCTCCAGGCCAACTATTCTCAAACCTTTTGGTCTCGGTCCCTTTCACACTCTTAAAACTTATTTTAGGACTACCCAAAGAGCTTCTGTTCATGATTATGTCTTTTGTTTTGATTATGTCTTTTGATATTTACTGTTTCAGAAATTAGAACAATTTTCAAAATTTTTACTTATTCATTTAGAGTAACAAAACTGTTACATGTTAATGTAAATAACAGTTTTTAGTAAAAAATATATTTTCCAAAACAGAAAATGTTTAATGAGAGGAGAGGCATTGTTTTACGTTTTTGCATGGCTGTTTAAAGTCTAGTTTAATAGAAGACTAGGCTAGACTCTCATGTGCTTCTCCAGTCAATCTGTTGCAGTATGTGTTGGTTGTTGGTTGAAGTCAATGAAGGATATCTAGCCTATGCAGATTTGTTTCTTTGGTACTTCACTAGTTTTTTTCCTCTTTCTTTCTCTCTTTCTCTTTTTTCCTTCCTTCTTTCTCTTTCTTTCTTTCTTTTTCTTTCCTTCCTCACTCACTCCCTCCCTCCCTCCCTCCCTCCTTTCTTTCTTTCTTTCAGCGTTTTGCTCTGTCACCCAGGCTAGAGTGCAGTGGCATGGTCATAGCTCACTGCAGCCTCCAACTCCTGGACTCAAGTGATCCTCCTGCCTCAGCCTCCCCAAGTCCCTATGACTATAGATATGTGCCACCATGCCTGGCTATTTTTTTTTAATTGTAGAGATGGGGTCTCACTATGTTGCCCAGGCTTGTCTTGAAATCCCGGCCTCCAGCAGTCCTCCCACCTCAGCCTCCCAAAGTGCTGGGATTATAGACATGAAACACTGTGCCCAGCCAACAAGTGGTAGTTTCTTAAATGTTAGTGGCAATGTGATATCTGACATCTTATCAATGACCTTTTTGTACACTAAAATTCATTAGTCTATTTTGCACTTTGAGTGCATCTTTTACCCATGCTTAGTGTAATGTTCTGATCATTTGGAAAATATAGGTTCACCAAGTTATGCAGGTCTTCAAAATGTTGACTCATTTCATTATACAATATCATAAAATCACATTTCTTAATGTCTCTACTGATCTCAAGCATTAGGAAGCTGTCAGGCTCATGGTGGCTGATACAACTTTTTCAAAATTCTAATTTTCACTTGAAAGCTCTATTTTTATCATTGGTGACAAATACTGTTATTTTCCTTGAAGTGACAGGCTCACTTTGTCACTTTGTCCATTTTTGAGAAAATGCCTGCCAAATACCCAAGTTGGAATAACTACAATTTGTTGGTCATTCTTTCAAGTAAGAATGGTGCTCCGTGGCATGAGCGGCTAGTTCAGCTGGCAACTCTGTCACATGACTGCTTTCCTCAAGACAGCTGTTGTACTTCCGTCAGCAGCAGAAATGTTGTAGGCTAACTGTCCATTTCACTGTGCCACATACATAAGTGACATGTGGTTGAGTCAATATTTAATATAAATTACTTTTTACCACTTCATCAAGGGCATTAATTTTTTTTGTTTGCTTGCTTTCGTTTTAATCGTGAGGGTGAGCTGGCGAACAATTGATGATGCCAAGTATGGTTTGCTGCCACTATGTTAATTCTCGCCAAGGTGCCAGCAGTTTCTTCCACTGTTGCTTTCTATACCCTTAGTGCAAGTGTTAACACTGAAAAAGGCAAACGACATCTTAGTATTACTATGAAAATATGTTACCTCTGTGGAGGCTCCCTCACTGAAAGGATCTTGGCAGTTGAGCTTGGAGAATGGCTGCCCTAGGCTAAATAGAATATGCCTGATGAGAGGGTAGCAGGTCCATCAGCTCTCTGTTAGTGTAGATGGTTTCATTGAAAGGCATATACCTCTAGGAATATAGCCCTATTTGCTTCAGTTGTTAGCCTCAATGCTGCAGTTGTGATCAACTAAAATCTCCAAGCTTCTTTTATGGGAGCTACTATCAAGGAAGACGTCTTGCGTGGGGCAAAAAAATTTTTTGTGGAGGACAAAGTGAGTCGTCCTGGTAGTGCACTGTAGAATGGGTAGAGACGGAATGAAAGTGGAGTAAAGGCCGTGGGGCAGGGCTGCAAGGAAGGCCTTCGAGATTTGTTTCCATCCAGGGATGTTTTTGGAAGCTACGTGGTGGGGGTTAGGAAGGGAACCCAAACAAGAAATGGAAGGCAATGGGACAGGCTAAATATTCAAGATTTGTGTTTCCAAAAAAAGAATGCGGGGATAGTTAGAAATGGCAGCTGAGAGAGGTGTGACCATGGGACATTGGGTAGTACTAGTGGAGGGAGGATAGAGAGACGGATGTGCCACCCACAGATGCCTGGAGGTGACAGGGGGCCAGTCTTCTTTCCAGAAGGTAATGATGATACAGTCAAAAAGTCGTGAATATTTGAAGTCATCTGTGCCTGATAACAAGTCTTTTCTCACTGCCCCGGAGAAAAAAGTTCTCTAACATTCCAAAAGCCTCCTCATTCCACTGGGCCCAGAGTTAGCAGTAGAAATTAGTGCAATTAATTAGAATTTGGAACTCCTGACTCGCAGGATGGGTGTGTGTTTGAGAGATGTTTATGAAAGATGGTGTTTATCCAAAGGATTTCCTTTTCTTTTAAGTTTCAAGGCTGGAGGCTTAAGCATCTTTGATCCAAAGGAAGGAGGTCTAGCAGTTGTTATAAGCCCCAAATCTTTGCTTAAGTCCTCTATAGGATTAGAGGCACCAGGGCAAGGCAGAACAGAGTGAGGTGGATGTTCTGTAACCCCAGTCCAGGGGAGATTTAAGGAAGATGAGAGTCTTAAAGATGGACAGTCTCTGAGTAGAGACTGGAGAATATTCTTCCTTCCCTGCATCTAGTTAGTAGCCCTGCTGCCCCTTTGCTACAATTCTTTCTGTTCTTATTAGCCACATTTCACGTGGAAAAGCCAGTAAAATGCAAATAATAATAATGATGATAATAAAATAGCAGGAGGCAAGTATTTCAAAGACGGAATTTCTTGCCTTCACACATTGTTAGGGGGCAAAGAACAGGTGGGTTTTTTATTTGAATTAGCTGCTGCTTGTTCATTCATCCCTTGGCAGAGCAGGATGCTGGTAGAGATCTGCCCATTGTTATAAGCCAGCCCATCGTAGGAAGGAAGGAACACACAAGGCAATTCATTGTTGTTCTCCAGGAGAAGTAAGAAATCCAGACGTTGGGAAGCTGAGGGGCAGGCCCCTGGAGTAAGTGAAAGGAGGAGGTAGAAGAAGAGGAAGGCCTCTGGTTGGGGGCGGGGTAGTGACAAGGGCATGGTTTTCATTCCCCCGGTCCTAACCCACGCCCTGGGGAAACAGAGCCACAGGGAGGGAAGTGATGAATGAAGTTGCAGCCATTTCTCCTAAGAACTCGGCCTAGGATTTGTGGGCACAAGCCCAGGAGTGCTGCGTATTTGCTCCTGTCCCAAGCCACAGCTGTTGACCCCTTGGTTCCTCACTCTAAATGCTGCTGGGGGACCCCAGCTTTACCTAGTAAGAACCATCATTAGGAAGGTAGAGTTTACAGGGCATGTTCACACATACCTGTGTTTGATTCTCTCCAAAGCCCTGCAAGATCAGCATTAGCACTGACCCAAATTATAGAGGAGTAGAGGAGGAGAATAGGCCACCGCTTCGATGAGCCTGTCAGGCACTGTGCTGGCTCTCAAGGCACAGCACTGTGACCTTGCCAACCATACCGTAAAGTGGAAATGATTTTCTCATTTTACTCGGGAGGCAGCTGAGGCTCAGAGGCGATAAAATGACGTGACCAGGGTCATAGCGATAATAAAAGATGGAGGCGAGGAAAAAGCCAGATCCTTCGGACTCTGTGGTCTGCCTGTGGGAAGAGCAATTTTCCTGAGCGGGTTTGGGCTGATTGTTCTTACTTCTCTGCAACAAGAGAGGGTAGAAGCTTACTGTGTGGTTTTGTCCACAGTGCCTTAGGGAGCTAGCCTGGTTATGTATCTCAGGCTCGCTCCCCTCCCTCTCCACCCCCGGCCTTCCTCTTTCCTCTTTCCACCTTTGCAAAAAAGAGCAAGATGTCCAGGCTCCTGAGGTCTCAGCTTGCAGAGCTGGTCATTAGCCCTTTGTGTCCTGCTAACCACCTTTCATCTCCTCTACCTGCTGGTGTCCGCTTTCCCTATTAGCATCTCTCGGCTCTTTGCAGAGCCCTCGGCCTCTTTGTGGCCAGCTTGGGTTGTTTGTCAGATGATGGCTGAGAGATGCACACTCAGGGGAGGGTGGCTCTGACCAGGAGCGCTCACATTTTCCATGCCAGGTGCCAGGCATCTCTCTCCTCTCCCACCCCAGGGGCAGCCAGGTTTAGGTCACCTGGCATGGAGGCAGACAGTTGATAGCCCGGTCCCTAAATTTGGGGCCTTTGAAGCCCTGGTGTTGCCTTTCAGTTCCCCTCCAAGGGTGAAATGGGAACTGGCTCACCGGCAACTTTTATGCCTAAGCAAGAAGCCTGCTGAGGAATTCCTGGTCTCCAGAAGCTCACCCTCAGGCCCAGGATTCTCTGGTCCAACAGCCTCCACTGTTGGTCGGTCAAACAAACGCCCTGGGATTCCCAGGAACATCCTGCTGCCTTCATCGTCCGCATACTAAATCATCAATCCAACGAGGCAGCCACTCGCCACACAGGGCCATTTAAGGTTACATTAAATTGATATTTATAGTATATAATATAAATTTCTATTAATAAAAATTAAATAAAAAATAACACTTTAGCCACCATTCTTATTTTTTATTGTCAGTAGAATTTTTTTTTTTTTTTTTTTTTTGAGAAAGGGTCTTGTTTCGTCACCCAGGCTGGAGTGCAATGGCACAATCTCTGCTCATTGCAGCCTTAACCTTCCAGGCTCAGGCAATCCTCCCACCTCAGCCCCACAAAGTGCTAGGATTACAGGCATGAGCCACCCGTGCCTGGCCAATTTTAGCCACCTTTCAAGTGCTCCATAGTCACACATGGCAAGTGGCTACTGTACTGGACAGCGCAGATAGAGAACATTTCCATATGCAGAACATTCTTTTGGACAGCACTGATCTATACAGCCAGAAATTCCAGTATCTTACAGACCATCTCTTCCTGCTACGAAGCCTTGAAGCTCCCTTGACCTTTCAAGTGAATTCATTTGAGTTCCCAAAATGCCACGGCCTGTTGGGACTGGAGGCCACCAGGCAAAGGATGCCTCCGAAGAGGTGTCCCCTGTAAAATTCACCATCACCATGGCCAGGCATGGTGGCTCATGCCTGTAATCCCAGCACTTTGGGAGGCTGAAGTGGGAGGATCACTTGATCCTGGAAGGTTGAGGCTACAGTGAGCTGAGATTGTGCCATTGCACTCTAGTCTGGGTGACAAAACAAGACCCTATCTCAAGAAAAAAAAAAAAAAAAAACTAATAAAAAATAAGAAAGGTGGCTAAAATTTTTATTTTATTTTTATTAACAGAAATTTATATGTGATATAATATAAACATCAATTTAATGTAACTTTAAATGGCCCTGTGTGGTGAGTGGCTGCTTTGTTGGATAGATGATTTAGTATGAGGATGATGAAGGCAGCAAGATGTTTCAGGGAAGCCCAGGGCGTTTGTTTGGCCGACCAACAGCAGAGGCTGTTGGAGCAGAGAATCCTGGGCCTGAGGGTGAGCTTCTGAGATGAACAATGGTGCTTACTTTTCTACACAGTGGAGAATGCAAGACCTGGGAGATTCATGGTGTGTGTAAATGTCAAGGCTTCATTCCATTTGCAAAGGATGGAACTTGGTGATATGGCTTGGCCGTGTCCCCACCCAGATCTTATCTTGAATTGTAGTTCCCATAATCCCCTTGTCTCATGGGAGGGACCTGGTAGGAGGTAATTGAATCATGGGGGCGGTTACTCTCATGCCATTCTCATCATGATAGTAAGTGAGATCTCATAAGATCAGATGGTTTTATAAGGGGCTTTTCTCCCTTTGCTCGGCACTTCTCTCTCCTGCCACCTTGTGAAGAAGGATGTGTTTGCTTCCGCTTCCACCATGATTGTAAGTTTCCTGAGGCCTTCCTAGCCATGTGGAACCGTGAGGCAATTAAACCTCTTTCCTTTAGGCCAGGTGCAGTGGCTCATGCCTGTAATCCCAGCACTTTGGGAGGCCAGGGCGGGCGGATCATGAGGTCAGGAGATTGAGACCATACTGGCTAACATGGTGAACCATCGTCTCTACTAAAAATACAAAAAATTAGCCGGGCGTGGTGGCGGGCGCCTGTCGTCGAAGCTACTCAGGAGGCTGAGGCAGGAGAATGGCGTGAACCCAGGAGGCGGAGCTTGCAGTGAGCAGAGATCGTGCCACTGCACTCCAGCCTGGGTGACAGAGCGAGACTCCGTCTCAAAAAAAAAAAAAACCTCTTTCCTTTATAAATTACCCAGTCTTGGGGATTTCTTCATAGTAGCATGAGAATGGACTAACACACTTGGTGTCCATTGGATTCATTTCAGCCATCAGCTTTGGCAGCCCAATGTGGCTGCTGGATGTGGAGTCCAGGGCTGGCAGAGGGAGGAAGGTGTAGGGCTGGGAGAATCACAGCTGGGGGTGGATTCTTCTAGACCTGCCCTACCCTGGGCTGAGGGTGAGAAATGCCTCTGAGAGCTGCAGAGAGAAGGGAAAATGATTTGTGTTTGTTTTTGCCTTTCTGTAGTACAGAGAGAAGGAGCACTTTGGGGAAAGAGGTTTAACCAGAAGCAGTTTCTTTTGGGAACAGGGGCAGTTCTTTACTCCCTGCCAGTTCCTGCAGGCAGGCAGCATGCCGGCCTGGCCTGCCGCCTCAACCCCTACCTGTCATGTGCTTGGCAAGTCTGACTCAAGTCCTTTTTTCCACTGCCTACCCCACCCGTCAAATTGCAGTTGCAACCTCTCATTTTTCTGCTGCCTAGATGATTAAAAAGCATGACTTAGTGGAAAAATGTTGACCTCCTTGGGGTCAGCCTCTGAAGCAGCTGTCAGAGATAAGATTGTGCTGGCAAATTACTCAGCAGCACTTTGCAAGGCTTTCTGTCTGTCTGTAAGGAAACCAGAAGCTGTTGGTTCTGGGTACTTTTTGTGTTTGGAGAGAGCTACAATTTTGAGGCCCAAATGGGTATAATCTGATAATAAAATAAGATCTCTGATGGAAGGGTTCGATTATTGTAGTAATTTTTAAAAATACAATTAATAGGCTTTGTAAACAAACAAACAAAAAAATTTAAACAGTGCTTGCTTCGAGCAATTCAGGGAGCAAAGTCCTCTGGCAGCTAAGCAGTATCAGAAGTTCAATTCTCAGACCTCTTGCAAGGTCTTAAAAGACTTAATTGTGGAGCTCTCGGTATGAATGGCGCTGTTTGGAATTATTTTAATTACTGTGTTCATATGACTCCCTCTTGCTTGGAGATTGGATGCTTACTGTAGTTCTTTTGAAACTGCTCCAAAGAGGACATTATAGTTTCAATTTTGCTTATGTCCTCAAAGTATTTTATCATCTTTATATTTGCCAAGAACTTGTACCCATCTAGTGAGACAAGAAGGTCACCTCATGTCTCAAAAGGAGAAACTGAGGTGTTTGGGGTTGAGAGGACTTGACCGGAGTTATACAATGGTGGTCAAGGACATAGTGAGCACCTGGGTTGTGTGGCTTAACCCATGCTATCAAGTGAACGCTTCATTTGAAGTCCTACAGGTCTGAGTTTGGATCCCAGTTCAGCTGCTTCCCAGGTGCGTGGCTTTGAGCAAGTCACATACCGTCTCTGTGCTTCAGGTTTCTTATCCACAAAATAGGGTTACAGTAGTCCCCGTTATCTCTGGGGGATACGTTCCAGGACACACAGTGGTTGCCTGAAACCACAGATAATACCAAACCCACATATGCTATGTTTTATCCTATACATCCATACCTGTGATAAAGGTTAATTTATAAATTAGACTCAATGTGAGATTAACAATGATAGCTAACAATAAAATAGAACAATTATAACACTATACTGCAACAAAAGCTATGTGAATGTGGTCTCTCTCTGTCTCTGTCTCTGTCTCACAATATCTTATTGTACCGTACCTACCTATCTTGGGATTGCAGTTGACCGTGGGTAACTGAAACCAAGAAAAGCAAAACTGTGGATAAGTTGGGGGGTGGTAACTAGAATTATTGTGAGGTTTGAGATTCTGCTCAGGAAAAATTTCATCCATCATCATCATCATTAGATTTTTTTCCTTATTTTAATGAAAGACCTGTTTCCAGCTTGAAGTGAAATCCAATGCTTCCCACCCCTCTCCTCCTCTTCGTCCTCTTCCTCCTCTCTTCCTCCTCCTCCTCCCCCTCCCCCCCTCCTCCTTTTGCTGGGCCTGCCCTGCTTGTCATGCCTTTTGCTTTTCCTTGGCTTAGGCTGTCATAGTTAGAATTGGGTTTTCACTCTCCCAGCCCTGACAATGTGGCCCTGGCACAGGTAGGCACAATCCTGGCAGTGAGGTCAGAGGGTGGAGGCAGGGCCAGGCTCTTCACAGGGCAGGTCCCCCTCTCCTCTTGACAGCTTATGGCGCTGTCTTGGATCCTGAAGGTTTAAAACAAGCATTGGGACTGGGAAGCTCACCTCCTGGGCTGGGGCCCTCACAGCTGCCTGGGCAGTGAAGGCCCAGAGTCTTACTCTCCCTCCCTGCTCAGTTTTCCATCTGTGAAATGGGGTGGAGACCCAGCAGCAGCCTAATCCATTTTCCAGAAGGCTCAGGCACTGAAAACAGCAGATGTAGGTTTGAATCCTGGCTCTGCCATGTGACCCACAGAGTCCCGGGTCTTACTATTCCTAGAGTGGCAGTGAGCCCTGAACGAGCTGACATCTGAAAGAGCTTCGTGACCTGTAGTGGGCTTCCCTCCATCGGGGTCCCTCTCACCCACTCTCAGAGCTCATGCTTGGAGGGCGCCTTGTGTCCTCACAGCCCATGGGGGGCTCTGGCCCCACCCAAGAAATGAGGACGCACCCAAAAAGCCCACGTGGCGCTCCTCGCTCGGCACATGCACGTCTGGGCACAGCGCCGTCTGAGGGCAGAACTTCTGGGCCAACCTGGTCAGGAAGACAGAGCCCAGAGTCGGGGTCCGTGTCCCCCTCTGCCTCCGTGACCCACACTGGCCCATCCCCTCCCTGGACTTGTTTTCCTCCTGGCTGCCATTATGATACCTTTTATGAGCCTCGTTAAGTCTTTAATGATGCCTGGTTGTGCAGCTGGCTTAAGGCTTAATCCCCAGCAATAGGTCTTATTGGATAAATGGTTAATAATCACTCGTTTGCAGGTATTGGGAAGGCTTCACTGAGGCCTGTGATTCCTGGAAGCCCCACGTGGCCTGTGATGTGGTGAGAGTGTGACTTGGCTGGGGCAGCACTGCATGGGGTTGGGTTGCAATAAGACCGGGTATCCTCAGAGCACCACAGAAGTTGGGAAGGCCTGAGTTTGTAAAAGGGCCTTTCTTCTATGTCCTGGTAATGGGTGACTCCTGTCTGCTGCCGTGGGCCTGTCCCCATCTGGATCAAGGTGCAGGCAGGACCAGGCAGCCCCCCAGATCTCTTCAAATGTGTCTCCACCCACTCAAAGTTTTGCTTTCCTTTCTTGTGCCATGAACAAGCTGTGTGACCTTAGGCAGGTCTCCTGACCCCTCTGGGGCCTTGAGTTGCTCATCTACCAAATGGAGAGGTGGGAAGAGATGGCCATGAAGGTGCCAAGTGCCTGATTCTGGGAGCCCAGCATCCCAGACAGAGGCTTCTCTCTCTAGCTCTGGGGTGTGTCACTGAGGGCTGTGAATGGCAGGGACCAGCAGCCCAGCGGATTAAGTACTTAAACTGCTGGGCCAAGAATTGGGTCAGCTGTAGTCACAGGGCAGTGTATGCAAAGGGAATCCGCAGAGCCAGATTTGGCCCTGATTTTATAGCTGGGTTTGGAGTTTCTGCCAGCTCTGGGCAGGACACAAAGTAGGCATTAAAAAACAAAGCCTGGCTGACGGGACTCTGGAAAAAGAAGTAGACTCCTTCAGGTGTAGAGCTGGCAAGAAGCCAGGAACTGTTCACAGGTGAAAAAGGATCCTTGGATTTTGTTCCCAGCCTGCCTGTGACTGGGGACCATGCCGTTCATCAGGATTTGGCTTTGACTTTACAGTTGCAATGGGATGAGGACCCATCTGCTTGAGGGACAAGCTGGTGTTGGGGCAGGGGAATCGAACATATCCAGTTTTTGTTTTTTTTTATTTTCAAGATGGAGTCTCGCTCTGTCGCCCAGACTGGAGTCCAGTGGCGTGATCTCGGCTCACCACAAGCTCCGCCTCCCGGGTTCACACCATTTTCTGCCTCAGTCTCCGGAGTAGCTGGGAATACAGGCGCCCACCACCATGCCCGCCTAATTTTTTTTGTATTTTTAGTAGTTTACCATATGAGAGGTTTCACCATGTTAGCCAGGATGGTCTCGATCTCCTGACCTCGTGATCCACCTGCCTCAGCATCCGAAAGCACTGGGATTACAGGTGTGAGCCACCAGGCCCAGCCCAGACCCAGTTTTCAATCTCATCCCATCCCTCACTCATTTCTAGGCTGTCTGGTCTTGGACCACCTACTCTCCCAAGCCTGAGATTCTTTAAGCTAGCATTAGCAACACCTGTTTTTCAGCATGACTGTGTGGGTTGGAAGTGATATATGTATAGCACCTGGTAACCTGCTCACTTAGTGCCAATAATTATTCCGGGAGGTACTTAATGCTGTGGCACCTGTTGTATTCTTTGTACTGCTGGAGTAAAATACTTCCTGCAGAGAGAGACCAGACTTACTGTGGATAACATGATTTGGGATGATTTTATCTGCAAATAAAATACAGAATCCAAACAGAATCACATCAACCTTTAAACTCAGCGGCACTGCCCCCAAACTTTCAGCTTCAGGATTGGAATGGAAGTCTGACTGAGGGACAGTTTCCTATGTTGCCCCAGAATATTCTCCCGTGGCTCCCACCTTATATACTCCACAGCCTCCCGAGTGCAAAGCACAGTCCCTGGCCTATGGCATGCACCCAGTATGCCACATGGATGTGCAAAGAAGGAATGGAATTTCTCTTTTCAAATATCTACGTGACCAGGCACCTGCTCTGCTTTTCTTTCAGATCTTCCCAGACCCGTCAGATTTTGACCGCTGCTGCAAACTGAAGGACCGTCTGCCCTCCATAGTGGTGGAACCCACAGAAGGGGAGGTGGAGAGCGGGGAGCTCCGGTGGCCCCCTGAGGAGTTCCTGGTCCAGGAGGATGAGCAAGATAACTGCGAAGAGACAGCGAAAGAAAATAAAGAGCAGTAGAGTCCCTGTGGACTCCCATGGGTCATACCAGCCAGCATCTGTTCCTGAACTGTGTTTTTCCCATCATGACGGAAGAAGAGAGTGAGCCGCAATTGTTCTGAAAATGTCAAACGAGGCTTCTGTTTTGCACCTGCAGATCACCGAGTTGGTTTTCTTTTCTTTTCTTGCCTTTTTTTTTTTTTGAAATTTGCCGAGCAGTGGAGCCCTCTGACAATTTGCAAGGCCCTCTGAGAAAGGAAGCTGCTTAGAGCCAGGGGGTTAGTGGGTGAGGGGAGCGAGTGCTGTTTTTGAGATCATTATCTGAACTCAGGCAGCCTAGTAGAGGCAGTGGTGGGATTCCAATGGGTCTTGGTGGGTGGGAGGTGGGGCATGTGCAAAGCAAGCAAGGAACATTTGGGGTAAGAAAACAAACATGAGGCAAAAGAAAAAATACATGTTTTTAAGAAAACATTGAGCAGAGAACTGCAGCCAGGATGCGCTCAGCAGACATTCACTCTGGCTGCTGGGACATCAGAAAACAAAGTCTTCATCTCTCTCTCCAGTTTCACCCACCCCACCCTTTGCTTTCATTTCAGGTGTGTTGGTCTATATGACAGGGAGGAGAGTAAAGGAGAGCAGGAGCAATTGGCTGCCTGCAAAGCCAGCTGGAGGTGAAGTGCAGGAAAGGAAAGGTCACCCCATTCTACTCCATGGCCTCTCTGCTCCCAGCTGTGGTAGGCTCACATAGCCAGTGTGATCGGTTTTTAAGAGGCAGTGCTTTTCAGCTTTTCTCCCTGATATATCCATTTTGCTTCCCAGCACTTTTTAGGAGTAGTGAGAGCACTTCCTGCCCTTGTTGGAAGCCCCAGGGTGGACACTCAGCACGAAGGTCTCTCCCTTAACTGCTGCCCTTCCAAGACTTGCTCCCGAGATGGAGTGGGCGTGGTCTTCCAGGCTGGCCCTTCCTTCTCCTCACCGCCACCTTCCCTGCCCCAGCCCCAGCAGCCATGGGTACATGGGTCCCCAGCTCACCTATGGATTCCCGCCAGTCTGCCCAGCTGCAGTACTCACGCCCCATGGGGGATCTTGGTCTGTTTTTCTTGTGGGAGCCTAGTGGAGAGCAGACGTGGCTTTTTATGTGTCTTGTTGGGGAGGTGACTTGCATGGTGGGGACAAGGCTGTCGTGGCAACCTTGGGATCGAGTTTGAGACTAAAGGATGTCATGAGATCCCTGGCTTCTCCCCATGTTGTTCCCGGACAAGGGCAGAAGGGAGGCATGGCAAGGGACCTCTGCTGTCCTTACTCAACAGTGGTCCTCATCCCTCCCCACCTCCCACTGCTTCCTGCAAGGGCACCAGTTGTATGAGAAAGTTGGCCTTTGGACTTAGGATTTCTTATTGTAGCTAAGAGCCATCTGAAGCAGCAGGTTGCAGGACAAATGCTTCAGTCCGCCGAGAGCAGTACCGTGTGGCCAAGAGGTGGACTCAGAGCCTTCCTTGAGCTAAACTCGGCCAACCAAGGCACGCAGCATGTCCCCTCAGGTCTCCAGTCAGTCCAGGTTGACCCTCAGTTCTGGACGTGTGTATATAGCTGTATTTAATACCTCAAGGTCATTGTGGCTCTGGGGATGCCGGGGCAGGAGGACGAGGGTGCGCTGTGGACACAGCAGTCCGCGGAATTCCGTTCTGGGAAGCCAATGGTCGCCGGCACCCCTTGCTTCCTCCCTCTGTTGTCTGCCTGTGTGACACACATCAATGGCAATAACTTCTTCCAACTCCTCGCAGAAGTGGGAGAGGCCGGCAGCCTGCACCGAGAGGGGCTTTCCTCTCTCTTGCTCCCCGCTTCGTTCTGTTTTGGCTGCAGAGAGTGGTTCATCCATACTCTCATTCCCTCGCCTCCCCTTGTGGACGGGGGTCTTGCCTTTTCAATTCCTGTGTTTTGGTGTCTTCCCTTATCTGCTACCCTGAATCACCTGTCCTGGTCTTGCTGTGTGATGGGAACATGCTTGTAAACTGCGTAACAAATCTACTTTGTGTATGTGTCTGTTTATGGGGGTGGTTTATTATTTTTGCTGGTCCCTAGACCACTTTGTATGACCGTTTGCAGTCTGAGCAGGCCAGGGGCTGACAGCTAATGTCAGGACCCTCAGCGGTGGAGCCTGCTGGGGGGACCCAGCTGCTCTTGGACAAGTGGCTGAGCTCCTATCTGGCCTCCTCTTTTTTTTTTTTTCAAGTAATTTGTGTGTATTTCTAACTGATTGTATTGAAAAAATTCCTAGTATTTCAGTAAAAATGCCTGTTGTGAGATGAACCTCCTGTAACTTCTATCTGTTCTTTTTTGAGGCTCAGGGAGAAACTAGCATTTTTTTTTTTCCAAACTACTTTTTGTCACTGTGACAGTTGTAAATAAAGTTTGAAAATGCTTTCCACTCTGGTCTGGTTTCCTTTTTCCCTTCCTGTTCCGTTGGAATGGAGTGAGCTCAGGAGCAAGAAGAAGTCCTGCAGGAGGCTGAGCTGGGGGAGTCCCAAGAGAGGCTCCTTATGTAGCTCACCTGATGGCTTGTCTGGGGAGAATTCACTGGGGAGATTTAACCCACAGCCAAGGTGTGAACTACCCTTCTAAAGGAAGAAAAACCCAAGACATATCTGAAGGTCATTCACAGGGGCTGGAGGGTGAGTGGGTGGGCATGTGGCAAGCTCAGGCTATCATGCAAAGCATTTACTGAGCACCTACTGCTTGGCAGGCATTAGTAAGAGGTCAAGGTCACAAATGGCAATGGCCCTGGTTCTCATGGCCCTGCCTTGGTGAAAAATTAAATGACGAATATGGTGAGTGCAAGGCAGGATCAAACTGGGATGCCCTGAGTGTGAACATCAGTTGGGAGGGTCAGGAAGGTCTTTGGAAGCAGTGACAAGGAGAAGTTAGCCAGGTACTAGGTGGCAGGGAGCAGAGGGGAGTTGGGGGCATTGGAAAATGATTCCAACAGGGAGAACAGCTTGGCAAGGGCTTGGCGGGTGGAGTGGTAGAAGAGGAAAGCATGCAAGAGGGCTACTCAGTCCTGGCTAGGAGTTTGGATTTTATTCTAAGGGAAGGACCTAGCATGGTCTGTTTCACATTTTAATACAACCTGGCTCAATGGAGATGGGATTGGAGGGGGCAAGATGAAAAACCTAGAGACCAGGAAGGAGGCTTTGTGGAGGTCAGAGTGAGAGAATGGTGGTTTGTAGAAGGGATTTGGGGGCATTTTTCTAACCCAAGGCTATTTTTGCCTTCACCCAGCCCTCCTCCGGGTTCCTTAACCTTGGTAAGTGTAGAGAATCCAGTGGTTTGTGCTGAAGGTGTCTACCAGGATTTACAGAATAATGACCCATTTTAACACTAGCCTTAGTGAAACAACTAGATCTATGGATCTGCTGCCCCAAGGATAACTGGCCGGACTTTACCCTCCTCATATGGATTGCCCCTTTATTTTTCTCCAGCAGCCTGAAGAGGAATTTATTAGAATGCAGCCTCCTTGAACACACCCCTGCAGAAAACTGTCTTTATTTGCAGATGACATCATCTGTGTAGGAAATCCTATGAAATCTACACAAAAAAGCTACTAGAACTAATAAATGAGTTTAACATGGTTGCAGGATCAAAGCTCAATATTCAAAATGACTGCATTTCTATATGTTGGTAACACCGACAAAAAAAACAAACACTGCATGTTCTCACTCATAAGTGGGAGTTGAACAAAGAACACATGGACACAGGGAGGGGAACATCACACACTGGGGCCTGTCGGGGGGTGGGGGGTAAGGGGAAGGAGAGCATTAGGACAAATACCTAATGCATGCAGGGCTTAAAACCTAGATGACGGGTTGACAGGTGCAGCAAACCACCATGGCACATGTATACCTATGTAACAGACCTGCACATTCTGCACATGTATCCCAGAACTCAAAAAAAAAAAAAAAATAACAGAACCTTGACATTTAAAATGCAATTTACATTAACATAAAAAAATATAAACTATTTAGGAGTAACTCTGATGCAAAATATGCAAAACCTCCAAAACAATGAAAACTGCAAAACACTGCTGAGAGAAATCGAAGAATCCCTACATCAATGAAAGCTCTACCATGTTCATGGATCTGAAGACTCAATGTTAAAATGTCAATTCTCTCCAAATTGATCTATAGACTCAACACAATCAAAACCTCAGCAAGCTGTTTTGTAGACATTGATGATCTAATTCTGAAACTCCTATGGAAATGGAAAGAACCCAGACTAGCCAAAACAACTTTGAAAAAGGAAACTAAAGTTGGAGGACTCTCAGTTCTCAGTTTCAAAAACTTAATACAAAGCTACAGTCATCAAAACAGTGTGGTGTTGGCATCAAGATTGACAAATAGATCAGTGGAACAGAATAGAGTCCAGAAATAGACCCACAGATGTGTGGTTAATAGATTTTTGACAAAGGTGCCAAGGCAGCTCAGTGGAGGAAGGAAGTCTTTTCAACAAGTGGTACTGGAACAATTGGATATCCATAGGAAAATAGCCCCTGGTGATGAAAGATGAGTCTTCACTTCTGTCTCCCACTGCCTCCATGTGACTTTTAAACAAAATAATTATTTGTTTGGAAAAAAGTTTCGTTATTCTTTTTCATGGTTAGCCAGTTGCTTCAATACCCTCCTGCTTCACCCCAAGTTGCCTCCTCTTCCCTGAAGGAGAAGGATTGGGTGACACCTGGCTGACTTTGCTGTGTTATTCGAGCTGACTTGCATTCGAGTCCTGTGCAGCCCCTCCATAGGTGCTGTGGGGCCATTTTGTTAATGTCTAGGATCCTCAGTGTTCTTGTCTGTAAAATGGATATAAGACTAATAACTCCCGCATAGGGGTGTGCAGATTGAGCACCCAGTAGGTGTTCCACAAGTCAGGATATTTTCTGTCTCTCTTTTGAGGGCCTAGTTGCTAAGGAACTAACTCTGCCTTCTCTCTGCTGCTTTTTGCTTTGGGTCCTTTGTGGACACCAGATACAAAGGTAGCTTCAAAGTGAAGACAAGATTCAACTCCTTCTGTCTGCCTCCTTTTCTTCATCACCTTGAGAGGGGAAAGGCAAGGAGAAGGGAACTGTAATGCCTCTGCCCACCAAAGATTGGAGAGGGAAGAGAGGGAGGTCTCTCATCAGAGAGGGTCTATACCTCTGCCTGACTCCTCTTTAAAGAGAGGATCCTTGGGCAGAAAACTCTTTGAAATGACAGTTGAGCTTTGACTAGACTGGGAAGAGATTCTAGGTGAGGAGACAGCAAGTGCAAAGGCCCTGGGGTAGAGATTGTCTCCATCTTTTTGAGGAATGTCTATGAAGCTAGTATGTCTGGAGTAGAGAAAAAGAGAAAGCTGAGAGCAAACACCACAGAGCAGTGCCTCATGGGTCCTCATGAAGGTGAGTTTCAGAATCACTGGTGCCCATTGTGAGAAGCCTTCAGGGAAGGACACAGGCTCACCAGGCATCCCAGCCCCTGAAATCCATTGGTCAGCCCATTTAAAGTTGCCCAACTGGTGGCCTACGGCAATCGATGTTGAGGGACCTGAGGCACTGTCACATCCGGAAAGGACTTCTGGATCATCAGAGGAGGATTAGATTAGGTAGAATTCAGTCTGTACATCTGTCCTTAAATTACTGAAGGGTGATTGTCGCTAAGAGCATTGGCTCCGAGATCAGACCCCTGGATCTGTAGCTGAGCCCTTCCTCTTACTAGTTGTGTGACCTTGAGCAAGTTACTTTTCTTTTCTATGCCTCACTTTCCTCATTTGTACAACGAGTACCTAACTCATAGGGTTGTGGCGACACCTAAATGCATATTACAAGTAACATGCTTGGAACTTTGCTAGACACATAATAAGTGCTCAAGAAATGTTAACCATTGTGAGGCCGGCCACGATGGCTCAAGTCTCTAATCCCAGCACTTTGAGAGGCTGAGCCGGGCGGATCACCTGAGGTCAGGAGTTCCAGACCAGCCTGACCAACATGGAGAAACCCCATCTCTACTAAAAATACAAAATTAGCCAGGTGTGGTGGTGCATGCCTGTAATCCCAGCTACTCGGGAGGCTGAGGCAGGAGAATCACTTGAACCCGGGAGGCGGAGGTTGTGGTGAGCCAAGATCGTGTCATTGCACTCCAGCCTGGGCAACAAGAATGAAACTCCATCTCAAAAAAAAAAGAAAAAAGAAAAGAAAAAGAAATGTTGGCTGGGCACAGTGGCTCACGCCTGTAATCTCAGCACTTTGGGAGGCCGAGGTGGGCGGATCACGAGGTCAGAAGATCGAGACCATCCT
This sequence comes from Homo sapiens, assembly GCF_000001405.40. Lineage (NCBI taxonomy): Eukaryota > Metazoa > Chordata > Mammalia > Primates > Hominidae > Homo > Homo sapiens. Next base: position 30,263,923 of record NC_000002.12, read on the forward strand.
GGCTAACGCGGTGAAACCCCATCTCTACTAAAAATACAAAAAATTAGCCGGGCGGGGTGGCAGGTGCCTGTAGTCCCAGCTACTCGGGAGGCTGAGGCAGGAGAATGGCGAGAACCCGGGAGGCAGAGCTTGCAATGAGCCGAGATCATGCCACTGCACTCCAGCCTGGGCGACAGAGTGAGACTCCATCTCAAAAAAAAAAAAAAAAGAAAGAAATGTTAGCCATTGTGGGAGACAGAATAATGTCTTCCACCCCCACAGATGTCCATGTCCTCATCTGAGGAACTGTGAATATGTAATGTTACATGGCAAAGGGGAATGAAGTTTGCCAATCAGCTGACCTTGGCTTGGGGAGATCCTGGATTATATTTGAGCCCAATCTAATCACAAAGGTCCCCATAATGAAAGAAGGGGGCAGGAGAGTGAGTCAGAGAGATGTGAAGATGAAATGCTGCTGGCTTTGAAGACAGAGAAAGAGGCTGCCAGTCAAGGAATGCGGGCACCTCTAGAAACGGCAAAAGGCAAGGCCATGATTCTCCCTAGAGCCTCCAGAGGAATGGAGCCCTGCCAACACTTTGATTTTATCCTAGTAACAGCTATTTTGGACTTCTGACCTCCAGAACTGTAAGATAATAAATTTGTTGTAAACCACTAGGTTTGTGGTAATTTGCTAACAGCTACAATAGGAAGCAAATGCAGCCTTTATCATCACAACTGTGATAATGATGATGATAGACTTTTCCCGCATGGCCTCAGAGAACAGGGATGAGGGAGTGAATGGAAGGGGTTGCAGTCAGGCTAAAGCCACCATCCAGCAGTTGGAGCCCACAGCTTCCTAAGGATCAGTCTTCTCTTGGCGCCACTAGCTAGAGGTATCTCTCAGACGGAGGGAGCCATGACTGACCTAGGACTAGATAAATTTGAGGCTATAGATCCCTTCTTCTAGAATTTCAAAAATTAGTGATTTGTGTGTGATATGATCATCAGTATAGTCTTGAATCAGAATATTCATTAGACTACTCCCTTCTCTCTGTTTACCTGGATAAAAGGTCCTACTTTGACATGCAATTCATTTGCAATATTTCCTTTGCCGTTTTCAGTCAGAAAACTGTGAATTCACACTTTTCTATTATTGGCGGCTGCCAATTGCAGAGCACTGGTTTACCTCCATTTCTTCTAATTCTCATCACACTTCTTGCAAAGTGTGGGTTTTCGTATATATAATGAAAAGTATATTTAGCACAAAGTACATTTAGCAATGATGGAAATTATAAAAGATGGTGAAATTTAGGGACTTCATCTTTCAAATCCCATCATGGTAACATATCAGTTATTTGCATTTTGGTTTCCTTCCAGTCATTGTTCCCCCATACTTACCAGAATGGGCTCAATGAATATAAATTTTTCCTACAAAATGGACATTTTTAATGTTACTTTACAGATGAGGAAGCTGAGGTCAGAGGACTTCAAAATATACTGACTTTGGAAAACAGTAGAATTAGAACAAATGGTGTGCTGGTAAATGTGTAACAACCAGCCCTCTGAGATTTAAAAAAAAAAAAAAAAAAAAAAAGGCCCTGATTCATAGTGTTTGCCAATTTCCATGGTGTAAATGCTCCCACCATGGCTGATTTTGTGGGACTGGATGAGATGGGAGCCAGTGCAAGCCTGCAGCAGCACACCTCTGGAATCCCTGATCCTCCACTTCTATGCTAGAAGGAAATGGGCTCAGCCTGCCTGAGCCTCAGTCTCCTTTTCAAGAAGATGGATATCACTCAAAACCAGGACAGTGCCTAATTCACAGGGACTCAATAAACTCTAGTGCCCGTCCTCCATTTGGAAAAGAGAAATCATTCTGGAAAGTTATCTGGCACAGTATTTTTCAAGCTAAATCATGACTCATTATGGGGTTGTGAAAGTAATCCATTTGTGGGCTGCAACCAGAATTTTTTAAAAAAGAAAGAAAACAAATAGAAAAGACGACAATAGAAGAGGAAAAATCAGAGTACAGCAGATATAGGAAGAATAAATGTTATTCCCTGAATTTTTTTTGTTTCATCCCTACATGTGGATAAATGTGTGTACTTGGTCATGAAAAAAAATATTTTTCTTTCTGTGGGTCACAGTCAAAACAGTTTGAGAGCCACTGATCTGGGGAATCTGGCTTTCTAGAAAGCAGTACTTTTACTTAGTGGAGTCATGGCAGTGGGAGAGAGGCAACTAGAAAAAGTAGCTTAATACATCTCTCTGCAGAGGAAATGGGGCTGGCACACCCAAGGGTGGAGACTGTGTGGTCAGTGTGTAGGGGACAAGCCTGGGAAGGCCACTATGTCCTTGGTCTCCTCCAAGGCCAGGATTAGGCTCTGGGTAGCCTTCAAATCGCTGCCGAGCCCTGGAGGAGGGAGGAACTGTGCATGGGGAAGGAGGCGGAAGCTACACAGGAAACCCTCACTGCATGTTTGTCACTGCTGGCACCCACTGCAGCAGCTAGCAGACAACCAACAATAGTGACATCAGGTAAAAAATAACCCACAGGGTCCCAGCCCTACCGTGCAGGGGCAAGGGCATGCCGTCTAGAGGGCTGCAGTGTCACCAGGCTACAGCTGGGGTCATGCTGCCTGGCGCCATGCTGTGCCTTGATTTCCTGATTGCTAATTAGAGGGCACTTTTCCTGCCCAAGGTCACTTGGGCTGGCGCCAGCAATGGGGCCACTTGCCTGCAGAGTTTTTCCTCCCCCGATCTCTTGCACAAGGTGGTATTTAAAAAATCACTCATGCCAAGACCTTCAGGTCTGAATGCACCACCTCTCCCAGGGGGACTCTCATCTTAAAAGAAGGCCCCAGCAGTTCTTACCCAAAGGATTGTCCCAGGCAGGGCCTGTGCAGAAAGCCCCAGCAGCCTTACAAGCCTCTCCTTTGGCTACGGTAGGCTATGACCCCAGGCCCTGTGCTGACCCAAAAGCACTTCCCGCTGTTCTCCAAACCTTTCTCTCCAGACCAAAGACACAGGCTCCCCATGGTTCCCCAGCACTGCCAGCTGGTACATGCTCCCACACACCAGTGAAGGGTGTGGAAGGCAGAGCTACATCAGATGTTACCGTATTAGGCCATTCTTGCATTGCTGTAAAGAAATACCTGAGACTGGATAATTTATAAAGCAACGAAATTTTAATTGGCTCACGGTTCTGCAGGCTGTACAGGCATGGTGCTGATATCTGCTTGGCTTCTGTGGAGGCCTCAGGGAGCTTTCACTCTTGGCAGAAGGCAAAGCAGAAGCTTGCACGTCACGTGGTGAAAGAGAAGCGAGAGAAAGCAAGGGGATGGGAGAGGTGCCACACACTTAACCTGATCTTGCAGGAACTCACTCACTATGGCGAGGACAGCACCAAGCCATTAGGGATCCGCCCCTGTGACCTCCCACTAGGCCCCGCCTCCAACACTGGGGATTACATTTCAACATGGGATTTGGGCGGGGACAAATATCCAACTCTATCATTTACTTGACTACAACAAAGCGTGTTGAGGATTAGCAGCCAGCTCTGACACATAGGAACTAGGGTCCCCTGTTTGCTTCTGACCTCACAGTTTGCTGGTTAATCATCTAGTTTCAGCCTGGTTCTCAACCTCCCTTGCCTATCCTAAGAGCACCCACGTCCCTCAAGAATGAACAATATTCACAAGGACTTTCCACTCGACAGTTTACAAAGCTCAGTTCTTATCTTCCATCCACCTACACAGCATTTCTTAACCTCGGGTTCCTAGAATTTAGGGGTGCATGTGACATTGGATGGGACAAAAATTACATCTATATTTTAGTTAATTACTAAGTGAAATTCAGCATTTCCTGTTTGTAGGAATGCAGGCAACAAACCGCAGTGGTGTCAGCAGCACCTGCAATTTGTCACGAATAAAAAATCACAAGTATTTTCATTTTCACAGTACACTTGTTGCAGGTATCATGAAATATCATTTGTAGCCATGGCTACCTCAAAATTATAGCTGCTGCTGGATCTCATTAGGTAAAGCTTTAATAAAGAAGGATATTTCTGACTTTTTCTTTTTTTTTTTACAAATGTGTTTCTAAAATTCTTTTTGATGGCTGTATGTCAGCAGACTTTATTTTCTTTGCAACTCTCTGTATTTTATGTTATGCATTTAAAGCATTATTCTGAGAAGGGAATTAAAACTTCTTCAAGCTGCCAAAAAGATCCTCAGCCCAAAAAAGATTAAGATTAAATTGCCCGAGGAGATGATGCTCCAGCCCCGAGTAGAGCTACAGTAGTGTGCAACCCCAAGGAAAATTCACTCTTACCCCTAAAGAGCTCAAAGCCAGATAGAAATATCCAGAAGCAAAGAAACACTGCACACTAGCCTAATGGGTGCTGTGAAGGCAGAGACTGTATGGGCAGATGGCATGACTGGGAAAGCCTGGGAGGGCTGGAGTAGGATCTGGAGGGCGGAGAAACAGGGGGCCACTGCCTCGTTTCAGACCCTTGGTGGATTCACAGCCAACCCCTGGCCAGAGAGGAGACAGCCCATCCACCTACACCGACATGGGCTGCCCCGGAACAGCTTGTTGGCCCTGGGTGGGAGTAGCTTCCCCTAGGCCTGCTCCATTCCCTCCCCAGCAATCCAAATGCCACCCACAGCCCTGGGCCTGGGAGCAGGGGGATGAACTGTCCCCATTTACCTTGGCCTAGAGGTTTCATGGGACACAGAAATTTGAGTGCTAAGAAGGGGGAAAGTCCCAGGGCAAACCGGTACAGGCTGTCCAAACTCCACCCCTTTCACCTAGGACTAATTCAACTGCCTGGAATTTGGGTCAAGTTAGTCCCATAGCACATTCTCTATCTGAGTTTCCATTTCTGTTCCCATCTGTCTCTCTCTGGCTGTCACTCTCTCACCTTCTACCCAATTTCTGCTTTAGCTCCCAAGCTTAGCAATGTCCTCAGCTCCTGTCTCCCAGTACTCTTGAGAGATAGGACTAGCTGGATTTCCTAGGCCGACTAAGAATCCCTAAACCTAGCTGGGAAGGTGACCACATCCACCTTTAGACACAGGGCTTGCAACTTAGCTCACACCAGACCAGTCAGGTAGTAAAGAGAGCTCACTAAAATGGTAATTAGGCAAAAACAGGAGGTAAAGAAATAGCCAATCATCTATTGCCTGAGAGCACAGCAGGAGGGACAATGATTGGGATGTAAACCCAGGCATTCGAGCCAGCAACGGCTACCCTCTTTGGGTCCCCTCCCCTTGTATGGGAGCTCTGTTTTCACTCTATTAAATCTTGCAACTGCACACTCTTCTGGTCCGTGTTTGTTACGGCTCGAGCTGAACTTCATCCACCACTGCTGTTTGCCGCCGTTGCAGACCCGCCGCTGACTTCCATCCCTCTGGATCTAGCAGGGTGTCCGCTGTGCTCCTGATCCAGCAAGGAACCCACTGCCACTCCCAATAGGGCTGAAGGCTTGCCATTGTCCCTGCACGGCTAAGTGCCCAGGTTTGTCCTAATCGAGCTGAACACTAGTCACTGGGTCCCATTGTTTTCTTCCGTGACCCACCACTTCTAATAGAGCTATAACACTCACCACATGGCCCAAGATTCCATTCCTTGGAATCCATGAGGCCAAGAACCCCAGGTCAGAGAACACGAGGCTTGCTGCCATCTTGGAAGTGGCTCACCGCCATCTTGGAAGCCACCTGCCACCATCTTAGGAGATCTGGGAGCAAGGACCCCCGGTAACACTCTAAGGACCTGGCTTTCTCCTGGGGGCCTGTTGAGCACTACTCATTCTTTGTTGATAATTGAAGTATAAATTACAGAAAGTGCTCAATTGTAGGGGACTAGGTCAGCTTACATTTGTACACCCATAAAACCACTACCCAGGTCAAGATACAGAACGCTGTCACACCCCAGAAGGCTCCCTAGTATCCCTCACTGTCAACCACTCCTCCAAAGGGTGACCACTGTTCTGTCCTCATCACATAGCTGAGTCTGAACTTCATGTGAATGGAAGCAGGCCTCCATGTCTCTTACGAGTGCATCCCACGGAAGCTGCAAATGATTCCACTTCAGCAGGATCACGGAGCAGAATTGGGCCAGAAAAGGCAGGGGAAACAGGATGTTTGGGCTGGAGGAAATAAATAGCCTCACGTTTAAGTGAGGACACTGAGGGCTCAGAGGACAGTTTGTTGACTTGTTCCTTATTTGACTAGCATTAACTGGGCTCAGGGACACATAGCAAGTTGGGGGAGGCAAATTTGAGATTAGAACTCAGAATCCCAGGACAACCTCCTTCCTTTTATCTTAAAGGTGCCCTTAGAACAAAAACCAGGGCTGGCTTGCCCTGGCTGGGAGGTTTTTGCTATTCTCCATTTCTTCTGCTCCTCCCCCTGCCAGATGCCCCTTAGGCCTGAGACAGCTACACAGGAGTGGTTCCCAATCCTCGCTGTG